>NW_021160019.1:0-270967 GCF_000001405.40 Homo sapiens
TACTTTACAGTGTGATGGAGGGAGTGGCAGCAGCCTCCAGTAAGATGGGCTTTGTTCTGGGACAACCAAACCCATTCAAGCACCTATCAGACTCCTGTGGAAGGTTTTGTTTCTTTAGAGAGTATTTCTTTGGCTTGAGGCTGCATTTAGAAGCAGCTACTATCTGTGGCTGTGTAGGCATCTGGATGGGAAGTGGGTGGGGTTGAGTAGCTATGGCTTTTCTATTCCTTAGGCAGTCTTTTTGCTTCATGCTCTCTTGCTCTGGTCTTCTGGAACCCTCTCTAGAGCTCCACCAGAAAGGATGGTGCCTAAAACATCTATTTCAGACTGCTCTTATGTTTATTCTTGGGTGGGGTGGCTTTTGCTTTTGCTTATTCATTTGCTTTGAATAGAATAAAAAAGTAATAACCCTTTTTCCTGAAAGGTAATAACCTGTTTCCTGAAACACATTTGCGCAGTCTGTCACTTTGAAATCCTGAACCAGAGGTTCTGTTGACAACTTTAACCATTTGAGATTTTTAAAATTTAAACAAACTAATATGAAGAATACATTATTAGACCAGGCGTGGTGGCTCACACCTGTAATCCCAACACTTTGGGAGGTCAAGGTGGGCAGATCACTTGAGGTCAGGAGTTTGAGACCAGCCTGGCCAACTTGGTGAAACCCCGTCTGTACTAAAAATACAAAAATTAGCCAGGCATGGTGGCAGGTACTTGTAAACCCGGCTACTCGGGAGGCTGAGGCAGGAGAATCACTTGAACTCGGGAGGTGGAGGCTGCAGTGAGCAGAGATCATGCCACTGCATTCCAGCCTGGGTGACAGAGCAAGACTCTGTCTCAGAACAAACAAGAGTACGTTATTGTTTCCCAAGAATTGATAGAATACCTTGGAATGTTGATAGAATATGAAATTGTTGTAATGCTGAAATACAAATCACCTATTTATTAATAAGTTATATTCTAAAAATATTTACAAAGCTTTTTAGAGCAAGGAAAACTAAAGGTAGCTTCCAGAAACCTAGGTGAGAGAGGATTGTGGGGAGGTCTCAGGCATTGCCATTAGCTACTAATTGATACTTGGGGCCAGTAGCAAGGTAACTCCAGCTTAAATGATGAAGTTTACATTCTAGGATTGGAGGAAATTGCTTGTTTCCCAATGTAAAATTTGCTAATTTTAGGTTGTCTTCCTTGATATGATATTGAGATAAAAGCTGTGCTACTTGTGGCTTATTAAAGTGAATTGTACCATATAGTGGCTATATAGTTAGGGTTAGGTTGCAGGTTGTGTTTTATTTCAATGAATGATAAAATAATAATTTGCCATGTCTTCTAATAAGAGTGAAAAAGTGAAAATGAATCTGTATGCAACATTATTTTTATTTCTTAATACATTTTGGGAAACTTAATTGCAACTGTGTGGTTCAGGGATTTAGTGCAAGAAGAAGAACAGTTGATGGAAGAAAAGAAAAAGAAAAAAGACGACAAGAAAAAGAAGGAAGCTGCTCAAAAGAAGGTAGTATGTGTGTAAACTATTTATATTAAGCAGTTTAAACATAGAATTAAAAAAAAATTACTCTTACAGATTTTGAAGGCATTTATTTGATTTAATGTTTTAGCTTTAATGGAGATTCATTTTAATATTTAATGTCTTTGAATATGCATATAAAGTAACTTGCTGAGTTTGTACAATTTAATGCATATTTAATCTTGTCAATAGTTTTTCAAAGGTAAGTACATTTTATGGATCTTTATCTTTCAAATAGCTGTTCCTAGGTGTTTCATAATATATCATTTTATAAGTGGGAAGAGCATGGAATTTGCAGCCAAGTTGAGAGTATTTGAAATCTCACTCTCCCACATAGCACATAGAATGGTGTGACTTTAGATTTTATTTAGCCTCTCTGGGCCTTAGTTTCCTTGTGTTTTGTTAAATGAGGGTTGAATTGAGATGATGTTATTATATGTAATACAGAAATAGAGTATTAAAGGAAAATGTAATAGACATAATAGGAAGTAAAGTGTCAGTTTCTTTTTCCCTCTTTATTTAGTACCTGGGCTGATTTTTAAAGTGTGCAGTGTACATTAGCCTTAAAATAAACCTCGGACATTGTTTACTGCAAGGGAATTCTAAACTAGCTAATTTAGTATAGGAAACTATAATTCAATGCAAAGTAAGTTAAAAAAATCTGTAATTATTAAAAATTTTCCATTTAATTGTTACATACCAAACAATTGTATTAGTATTGTTAATACTAAAAACTGATAATAGTTAGCTAAATGGGCACTCATCTCCTACTATGTCAAGGTTTCAAGACATTAAAATGCTCTAAAAACCTAGTGAAATTACTGTTTCAATTATCTGTTGTAATGAAAAATTATTTTAATTTCTAATATATGCCTTTTTTGAGCCAGGCATTGTGCTAGGAACTGGATGTAGACTATAGCAAGATACTTATGTCCACATTATTTAATAGGGGAAAACACAGGCTGTAAAAATGGCAGGTGAGGCATTTATGGGGAACTGTTGCAGTACAGAGAGAGAGGTGCATAACTCAGGCTGAAATGGGGCAGAGGGACAGAGAAATTTCGTTAGAGTAGAAATTAGGTGAATAAGGAGCAGAATAGAAAAGGATTCCAAACAGTGAAAACTCAGAAATACTTGGTAGCCTGTATGCATTAAAGGATGGGTTTTGCTTGGGGGAAAGGGAGGGAACCAAGGGTAGAACTCTGAAGAGTTGAACTAGGAAAGGCTAGGAGGTTTTCTCAAGGCTTTGGGGAAAATGCTGAAAATGTTTTAGTAGAGTGACATAAAAGTTTGTATTTTAGTATGTTTACCTTGGAAAATTGTGGAATTGGTTTAGAGGGGGTAGATACCAGAGTGTGAAATACTGGTGAAGGGACTATTAAAGTAATCCACAGAATTTGTTTAAAGGATATAGAGGGAGAGTCAGCTTAGATTGACTCGCAGGTTCCAGATGAGTGACTACATTTGAGAGGAGTTAATCAGGCTAGGGGATACAAAGAAAGGAGAAATGATAAATAATTCAGTTCTGCATGTCCTGAGCCTAGGGGTGTCATCAGCAAGTATTAGGGGAGGAGAATTAAGTATGAGATGAGAGGAGATGATGTGGCCCTAGCCACCTGCCTTTTGCTTGCTCTTAGGGGTGCCTGGGAAGGGATGCATAGGTATATGCCATGGTTAGGGTTTTGGTAGGCTTCTCGTGGTTTGGTATTGATGGATGTCTTGGGCCTCTGTCAGAGGCTGTTTATGTAGGACAGTCTTTGCAGTCTGGTCGGTCATTGCTCGAGATTTCTTATGAGAAAGTTGTGTCCTCTGTAAGTCTGAGGTTGGGGTAAAGGCTTATCAGACTCTTGTTCCATGGTGTGAAAGGCCATTTGCCCAATGAAAAGAGCTTCTAAGAAACTTAAGAGGTTTATTGAAAAGGATGGTTGGATATACTTTATGTAGATTCAGTAGTTTGGCAAGCATCTGAGTGTTGAATTAGGCTCTGTTGGTCCCTGTGTCTAAGGAGTTCAAGAATTAGCTGATAAGTCAGAATGTATGTGAAATGGCTAGAGAAGAGGCCTAAGACAATATATAAGCGTATTTGTTTGGAATTTATTCTATTTACTGAGAAATTTTAAGAAAGGGAGGGGTCACTTGAATGATGTCTTTAAATATTGTATTTTTGTGAATATAATTTTAAAGTTGTAACATATACAGCAATGGCTCTAATTGTTACAAGTAAATCTTTACATTCTTGTATAATCAAATCTCTAAATCACCAAGTCAGTATAAGTGGTCACTTATGTGTAGGCAGCTTATAAATAAGCCTGTAACACATGAGTGGTGATTATTGTGCCATTTGACTTCTCACCAAATCTGAAGTGACAGCTTTTCATACTGTTGCCCACTTCATTCCTGTCTCACCCCATGGTTCCAGTCTCTCACCTCAACCATGTCCTTACTAGAACCATCATCAGAAGCTTAGGGATATAAGAAGTTTTTCCTTCTTTTGCCAGATCTTCAGCACTGATAGGGTATTCCTGTGTGTCTCATAGACACATCATAGTATCTACCCACTGAACACAATATAAAGGAAGGTTTAATACCTCTAATAAATGTTAAGTTTAGCAGGCTAGGCCGCTACTGTAAATTAGACTGTTCTCCAAATTTCAAATAATCAGCTTACAACTGAATTTGAATACAACCTGTCGGTGAAGTGAGGACAGCTGGTATTTCCATAGAGTGTTACCAGATAGCTCTTGAAAAGAAAAGAAAACCCCCAAATGACACACTTATAGCCCATATGAGGAATTGTGAGTCACAGGGTTTTTAAGACAGGTTTCCTGGAACTTGTCTTTTGTCGCTAGTAGGAGCCAGCAGGTGTATCCAGGCAGATATCTACATGAGCCAGGTGGGCAGGCCCATTTATATAAATGTTGGCACATAAACTCACTACAGTAAAAAGTATTTTATGTAATTTATATTTTCTTATTTTTGAAAAAGGCCAGATATTATCTGTTCTAATACATTTGTTCATTTTTAATATAAGGAACCTAAGCATCAGAATGAATTAAGTGATTGACCTTGGTTTTATCATGGTGACAGAACCAGGAATATAATTGAAATCTCTCTCCTCCAGCTGGTGCTTTGCCAAAACCCTGTGCCATGACTTTATCCTTTTCATGCAGAACATTATCTTATACTTTGCTTTATTTTTTGTCATTTAAAGGTGAACTTTAAAATTGGAAAATAATATATTGTGATAATTTTTATAATAGGGTATAAAATAGGTTCTTATACCATGAATACAGAAAATGCATACATTTAATGGTCCCCAGTAGCCACTGTGGTTTTTTTAAAATTAACACCATGGGTTATTTTCTATTTTAAATAAAAAGCCAGATAACACAACTTCCTATAAAAACAATTAGACACCGACGAGCCTTACAACGATATTTTCGTTTTGATAGTTTTTATTATCCTATCATTTAAATATTAATTTACATATTTAGATTCTTTAAAGAGCTTTTTCACATTAAAAACAGGGTGATTTGTATTGTATTTCAGCCCCAATACATTTCTAATTAATATGGAGACCGATGACTTTTGTTCTTAAAATTTTTTGAAAAGCCTTTTCATCAAAGATTATGTATAACACTCTTTTCTGTTTCATATCTAAGAACCAGGGCTATTATTTTCTGATTCTTGGGCTTAGAAAATAATTTGACAGAGCATGGAAATGTAGTTTCCATACTTTAAAAAAAGGAGGGGGGTGACAGTAGTAGCAGTAGGTTACCATGGATTTCTCTCCAGGTTCTGTTTTTAGAAGAAATTTCTCCAAGGGATCTTAAGGGAAATGTAATGAGGAGGAAAATAGAGGTTGAGAAATAGGTTAATTATAGAGGGGTAGTTTAGTGTAACCTTTACTTGAAGCATGCAATTGTAGTTCCTAGAAAGCATATAATCGTTGAAGGCCGAGGGGAAGCAACAATACAAGTTGGGATCTCTTGGTGTTGAGAATGTTTCAACATCCATGGGCTTTTTGCTGTTACTGTGTTAAGAGCTGAAGGGATTTTTATAGGTGTTATTGACTTAAATATACCAAATTCAAGTTTAAATGAGACCTAGGTTTTAGAGAGCTTCCAGCTTTATTGCCATTTTTGAGGATCATATTCAGCAGCTTAATTAGTAAATTTTCTCAGTAACCTTGGTGGTAACATGACCAGGCCTGAGTTGTGCTCTCATAGAGGGCAGTTAGGTGTTCTCTTACAGTCTTGCCCCTCATTGCACCTTACACTTCTCTTTTCCTCTTTTATAAAACTCATTTTATTCAACAGATCTGGATTCTAGACTGAGTGCTGATTGCTAAGTCATAGGAAAGCTCTCTGAGCACTAGGTGTCTCATTTAAAATCAGTGAATTGAGCTAGATTAATTCTTTATTCTTAATGTTAGGTTGTAATACTTGGCACTGTTAAGACATTGTAGATGATCAGAAAAAAAGAAAAGCAAGACCTGGAAGGGATGAATGTAGAGTCAGCTTATTTCCAACAGTGAGAGCCAATACTGAGCCAAAGCATGGGCAGATAGGCTGAAGATAGCAGCCGCCAGCGCCACAGCAGCAGCTGATGTCTGCTGAATGCTTTCTATATGTCAGGCTTTGTCCTAAGTGCTTTTATATGAGTTAAATCCCTTTAACCTTACAACTCTGAGGTGGGTGTTTTTGCCACAGTTCTATAGATGAGGAAACTAAGCTTTAGAGAAGTTAACACATTTGACCATGGTCACACAGTGTAAGTGGCAGAGCCAGGTAGGCAGTCAGGCTTTAGATCCTGAGGTCTTAACGAAGTGTGCTTCAGGACCATGTTGTTGGGACAAGCAGTGCAGAGCCTGACAGGCAAAGCAAGTGGAGTGCTGTGCTCTGCCACTGCACTGCTGTCTTCAGTAATGAAGGAGGCAGTTGTGATCATTGCTGGTGGAACCATAGCTCAGATTTTTTTTTTAAAGAATAATGTATTAAAAATGGAAATCATTTTGCTTCTAGATTGGCCAGAATCTTTTAATTATCTGTATGAGAGGATTTACAGTGATACTTCACATTTGAAGTAGTGTTGTATAGTTTTTCAAAAAAAATCTTTCACATTTTATTATTTGACCCTCATAATAACCCTGAAAGGTAAGCAGGACAGTTATTTTGTCCATTTGAGAGATTAGGAAACTGAGACCCAGAGGGTTTAAATGATCAGAGCATTTCAAAGTAAAAATAACCAGATTAATTTTAATATATTTTATATAACCTAATATAGCTAAAATGTTACTATTTTGACATGTCAGTATAAAGTATTTTTAATAAGGCATCTTGTGTTCTTTTAAAAATACCAAATATTAGAAATTTGGTGTGTATTTTGCTCATCTCAGTTCAGACTAGCCACATTTCAGTCAGTGGTCGGTAGCCACATGTGGCAAGTGGCTGTTGTTTTGGATAGTGCAGACAATTACTCTTAAAATGACTGATCCCACCTGGAAAATTCTTTTTAATAATTTGAATAATATACTAGGTCTCCAGACCAGCCCGCAAAAACCTGTTTTAAAAAAGTGGAACTCTTAGTTCCGTTTCTTCCCATTCCATGAGGAGCTCTTGGTTTCTATACTACTACTTTCATTCCTTGTATACATTAAATCCGATTCTTAGGGGCAGACACACCTTAGGTGTCTCCATGGGGCCATTCTCTGTTGATGACAGAATACTGAATGAGGTTGACCGTTGTTTTAAAGCATCTTTTTCCAAAGGAGTTGTATAGCATATATCCTTTATGTTGTAAGGCCTAAAAGAGCAACATGGTATACTTTGTTTTGTTTTGCTTTTTTGTAGAGATGGGGTTTCGCCATATTGGCCAGGCTGGTCTCAAACTCCTGGCCTCAAGCATCTGCCTGTCTTCTGCCTCCCAAAGTGCTGGGATAACAGGCGTGAGCTGCACCTGGCCTACTTTGGGTTTTTATGTGGTCATTGTTTCTATGTTCTGAAACTTAGTTTCCATTGGAAGTAAATTGTGAAAGAGACCAGGAGAGTGTTTTTTGTCTGTTTGTTTTGTTTTTTTTTAAGCCTTTCAACGTGTAAAAGAAATTTTCTGCTAATTCTTTGGCTTCAGAAGATTATGCATCTTATTGTTTGACATGACATTTCTGATACCTAAAAGTGTTCATATACTAACTTCTCTCTAATAAGACTTGTTTTTCTACTCTCAGATTTTAAAAATGATTTTCCCAGAAACAAATGAAGTGTTGTTAGCTAGTTGACTGGTTGTTTGGCATTGTCTTTCCATCAAAATTTTTTTTTTCATTTAAATTTTGATCCATAGAGTAAAAGATGAGCCTCCATTATTTTGTATTTCACTAGTGCTCTAAAACTTAGCAAAGCACTTACGTGGTGGAGCAAGACTCCCTGGCTTTCTGGGGAAAGATTAATGTTTGGTGTGGCTTCAATATTAGGGAGTTACTATAGCTTTTACCCATATATCTATAATAGTATAATTTAAAATGGTATTTTTGATAACAGTAATTTCATATAACTAAGCAAAATGAATTATGCCCCATGGCAGCTAAGAAAAGCTTTATTGCTATTTAGAAACAACAACTGGTTATTCAGTTACTAATTATTCAGTCTTTTCTCACCTCCTTTCCTGTTCTTGTATCTGTTATTTTCAGGATTCCCATAATATTGATCTTGATCAACAGATTGATGTTTTGCTTGGGTTTTTCTGTCTGTGGTTCTTTTTGAAGCCCTTGGGAGTTTGAGCTAGTCACCTCGAGTTAACCCTGCTGTCCTCAAGCCCCTCTCCTCAGTTGTGGTGTCAGAAAATAAAGGAAGAGCAGACATTGGAAGGCAGTGAAAGCAGAGTTCATGTCAGTTCAGCTTCTGATCACAGTAATTTTAACAGATTGTCAGATGTGTCAGAAGTGATAAATCAGTTTGAAATTTTTTTCCACTCAAAAATACTTAGATACTTAAAAGTTGACTAAGTTTAATTGCAATAGCAGCCTAACCTCCAGGAGTTAAATTTATTACTAATTTGGCTAAAGTGATTATATGTACAGCTTTTCTTACAGAAAACCTAATTCGTCTTTTTATCACTTGTAACAATTTTTGAAGCCATTTAAACATGCAAAATATATTAAATCCATTAAATGTAAAGGTGACAGTTTGTATAAAAATCATTTTTAAAGGACATGAGAAAAGTGCAGCTCCCATTTAAAAAATTATATACTGTCATACAGTGATGTCTTCTATGCTTAGTGTCACAAAAATTAGGTATTTTAAATTAATAAACATAGTATCAGGGATAATGGGGCACATCTGTGGGAAAAGCATGCTTTCCTTGCATATCTTTTCCTGTGCAGTTCATCTATTTGAGAAATTCCTTGTTTAATAAAGGTGTATATGTCTTATATTAATATATGAACATTTTATCATAACAGTCCATTTCTTTCAGTTTCATATTTACATTGTTTTTTGTTTGTTTGTTTTTATTTTAGGCCACTGAACAAAAAATCAAAGGTACGTTGTTTAAAGCTATTTTTTATCCCTTTTTTCATTAAAGCAAGGTTGTTTATGTGCATTTTTGTTCACCTCAAGGATGGGAGAGAGAAGAGCATGAAAGAAGCGGTTGGGATTAGCCTTCTTCAGTAACATACCCTGGGGTCGTCCTTTGGAATTTCATGGTTATTGTGGTGTATGTGACCACATTTAGAGTGCACTGCCTCAGACCTGCCTTAAAGCTGTGTCATAGGATAAGAGTAAGCACTGCTTCCTAATGTACTCCCTTGTTTTGACTCTTGGGGCACAGGCACCTTTCCTTCAGTCTTCCTTCTAAAAGTCTTCTTGTGTGGGGTAACCTCTAGGACCCCACTGTATCCCTTAAGAGTTCTGCCTCCTTTATTTCTTGTTCTCTGAAGAATGTCCCCCATTCCTTCTTATAGACAGATAGTGACATCCATCTCTGTATTATCACTTAGAATAGTAGATTGCAAACCTTACACATTGTGTCAGGTTTGAACAGCACCCATTAGACCCCAAGCAAAAGACATCGGAGTGATAAGGAAACAGGACACTAATTCCTCTCAGATCCTGAATCAGGAGTTCTTCACCCTCCCAGGAGCTACTTGGTAATAAAGGTGTAAAGCTCTCAGGTGCTGAACTTATTAAGCCTCAAGATTCTGAATTTTTATTTTAAGCTCTATCAAAAGTATAATCTTACCCCTCAAAAAAAAGATGAATAAAGGAATGAAATGGTTCAAAGAAGGAATGAAATGGTTCAAGCATGATTCAAGACACAGAGATAAGAAATAACATGATGTGGCTTGCAGTGGTGGAATTCCATAACATGATGTAGTATGCAGTGGTGGTATTCCTAGAGCGTTAAATATTCAGTGATAAGTGGGCAGGGTTGAGGCTGAAAAGATAGATAGGGGCCAGGTCAAAGTGGGTTAATTTATGTGCTGTTTGTACCAACAAGCTTGGACTTTGTATGTGACAGGCAGTTAGGAGGCATTCAAGACTTAAGCAGAGTGACATGGTGCTTTGTTTTACGTTGTTTTCCATTTTTTAAAGCTATCAACTACTGTACATGGAAAGTATTGGTTGGAAGACAGGTAGGGATTTGAAAGGTAGAGCTAAGAGAAGAAAGGCATTGTGAGCAGAGGAGGCAGGTAGACAGCATGGGGAATACGACGTGCATCTTTTGTCTCTAGAGTTGGGGGGAAGTGACTGAATATAGGCCTGGAGATAGAGGGAGCCACAGGGCTTCATGCTGGTTAAGCCAGCAAAGGTGTTTGGATTTGGAATGTCATGGTCATAAGCTGTGGAAATTTAACTTTGCCAGTAGTGCCTAAAGTCACCAATAGAAGCAAGATTAGAGAGGGTCATGAGGGTTTGAACTGAGGTCTTGGCAGTAGAGGTAGAAGGTGGGTGACAGATGTGTGAGGGATAATTGACAGGACTGGCAACTGATGAGATCAGAAGAGGAGTTGAAGGCGCATTTGTGGCTTTGAACTTGGAATGTCTAAGACAGTTACAAGGATGCGGAATGTAGGGAGGAACATTGCCAAATTAGTAGGAATGTTACCAAATTAATTTTCCTAAAACTCTATTTTCCCCACCCCTCTCCCCCACATAGCAATGGTAAGTTGTCCCTATTTGTTCTTGCTTCAAGACCAAACTCCTTTGCTTAGCTTTCAAGGCCCTCATTAATCTAACCTCCCTTGACCTAACCAGCCTGTTTCCCATCAGTCCTTATACTTTTTAGAGCATTCTTAGCTCTTTCATGTTCATTCTTGTTTCTTTTTTATTCAATTTATCAGCCAAAGATGTCTTTATCAGGCCTTTCAGCTTTCCTAAACCTCTCAGAGTTCATCCTTGAATGGGTCTCTCCAAGTACCATTGATCTCTCCCTTTCCAGTTTCTTAGGATGTTATAATCTCAAATTTGGGCACTTGGTTATATTCTTACATTTTTGACTGATCCTTGGATATTTGTTTCTTCAACATCTTTGAGTACCTAGTGTTTATATCATTTCTAAATGTAAATAATTTTCTTCTAGCCTTACATAAAATATGAACATATTTAGTCTTCTTGTTTTTAGATTTTTCCACGACTCTGTAGATGATAGGCTGAGTATATGAAGGTCACTTCAGAATACATTTTGTTGTTTTGCCAGTGATTTCACTCATGTCATCCTTCTTTTCACGCTGTCTCTCTTCATAATTGTTCCCATTTTTTCTGATTCATGAAAATGTATTGTTTTATTTCTGTGCTATGTATTTGTCTAGGTAGTATTTATAGTTTGGGGTTCACATAGTGGTTAGAGATTACAAACTGGAGACTTGAGGGGCAGATGTGGCCTACTTGGTGGTGGTGGTGTTTACTAAACTTTGTATTTTGGAATAATTTTAGATTTACAAAAAAGTTGGAAAGATAGTACAGAGACTTCTCATATACGCTTCATTCAGTTTCCCCGATTATTAGCATCTTACATTACCATGGTACATTTGTCAAAACTAAAAAACCAACCATGATACTAACCTCACCAGTTTTTCCATTAACGGCTTTCCATTCTAGGATCCGATGCGAAATGCTGCCTTGCATTTAGTTGTCAGGCCTCCCCAGTTTCTGGTTTCTGCAGTGTTTTTATTGTTATCCTGTACATTTTAAAATGACTGCCAACATTTAAAAATCAGAAGAGTCTGCCTATTCCAGAATTCCTGCTTCTCTTACAGTTCATAATGTCAGTATGATTTTTTTCTCTTTCTGTGTTGTAGAGTCTGTGTAAAGACCAAGTTTAGCCACATGTGGCTGTCAAGTACCAGAAATGGGACTGTGACTGAGGAACTAAATTTTTAATCTTACGGGACAACATAGCTCTAAAGTGTAATGGGCAACGTAATGACGTTCTTGAAAGTTTTATTCTTGTGACTTCAACTTTGAAAAACTGTAAAGAACACAAATATTTGAATATTTAAAAAATCTTTTAAAATATGTCTCTTACGAGTATGTCCTTGAAACAGCAGGAGAGTGAAGTGCTAAAAAACTTCAGGTGAGGTATAGGGATAGATGGATAAATTTTAAGATGCCCTGTGGTATATGTAATGTAAAGGCAAGGAAAGAGCTAATGTTCCTTCTTCAGAGTGTCCTTGGGAACTTGGTTGAGAATAAGAAAATTTTTTAAAAACAGTTTTACAACTCTGGCATTGACTTTTTTTTTTCTTTTTTTTTAAGGAGACAGGGTCTCGCTCTGGAGTGTAGTGCACAATCATAGCTCACTGCGGCCTTGAACTTTTGGGCTCAAGCAATCCTCCTGCCTCCTGAGTAGCTGGGACTGTAGGGGCAGGCTATTTTTTTTTCTTTTTCTTTTTTTAAACGTGATCATGCTACATTACCCAGGCTGGTCTCAAACTCCTAGACTCACACGATCTTCCTGCCTCAGGCTCCTGAGTAGTTGGGACTGTAGGCGTGAGCCACCGCAGCTGGCTGACATTGGGTTTTTTGGGAAGCATGTTGATTGTACATTCATTTCAAAAGAATAAGTAAGCACTGTTGATTTTTGACAGCTAATTTTCTCTCTCTCTCCTGACCTCTTTTTCCTCTGTCTCTTCCCCTTCTTGTCTCACTCCTTCATATCAGTGCCAGTGCCTTTTTTGAGTGATTTCATGAGCAAGGTATCTTCCAAAGAGTAATAAACCCCTGAGCTCCTAAGGGAGTTATGGGAAGCCCGGGGAGATCCTAGTGGGAAACAGCAATGGAGAAAAAAGGATTGAGATTTTATTTTTTGGGTGATAAAATAGCGAAGTTTAGTTTATTACTGCCGCTCTGTTTCTGGGTTAATTAAAAACTCATGAAATTAAGTCAACATTTATACATTTTTTCCTGCCACAATTGGCACAGTTATTTTTTATCAATTCTAGCCTTAATATTTGTTTTTCTGTCAAACACAATGTTACTACATCTGGGTGATAAAAATATTCACTATCTATTAAGTCAGCTGCATGTCAAATCATATTGTAGACATTATTATAGCTGACTTAGAGCACCTTCTATGTGCCAGGCACTGTGCTTTATTTCATTTAATCAAGGAAAATATTCTAAATATTTAACCACTAATAATGAATGGGTATCAGCAGTTCAGAACAGGGTCCTGAAAGCTTCTTAATGTGCTAAGAGTTACTTTAGTTACTGAATTTTGGAAATCTTTGGGATCCAGAGCAGGGGCTGGGTATTCTGGGACTCACGTAGTCTATATTTAAAAATTGATGTGAGAGTAGGCCTTCAGTGTATACTAGCACAAGGTAAGTTTACGTTTAATCCTCTCAGCAGCCCTTTGAAAGTAGATATTAGCACCACTTACAGGTGAAATTAGGCTAGGAAAAATTAACTAACTTGCCCAGGTTATGCAGCTAACGAATGCCTGAGCCAGAATTTGACTACGAACTTGACTGGGCTCTACCGCTTCTGTTTCTTTAAAAACAGCCCCTGCAGTTACATGGAAGACAAGATGTGAAGGACACACCATTGCTCATGCTGCAACAGTAGTCACTGAATAAACTAAAACAACTCATCTTTTAAAAGGAATCCAGAAAGATCTTGGAACAGATTTTACAGTATTTCTCTATTGATTAAGCGTGTAGATTTTTTTTTTTTAAATTGTAGCACCAGTATAATTTTGTGAATCAGAGAATTTGACAGCTTTGTGATGGGTGAGGCATTGGCTCTTAAATTGTTTATTACATCTTTGGTTGTTGATGAAAATGAACAAGAGTTTTGAGAGCCAAGCAAGCAGCTGATTCTAAAATCTCCTGCATGCTTTGATCTCTATGCAGTAAACACTGATCCTTCTGTGGAGCAAAACCAGAGTACTAAATTACGTTCAAAGTGTTTTTTTGCTACACCTGTAAGGGAAATGTAATGACAATTTTGCTAAAAAAGAACCCTTCATTTCATCATTCTTCAAAGGGTGGAGGACCCTTTCTGAAGGGCTTGAATAACAGTTAAATCCTTTTCCAGTATGCCTGTTGACCAGTACATTTGTTAAAATCATAGCACACAGTTTAGCCTCTAGAATGTGACTGAGATGGCTAAGTTTGTGTTGAAGGAAGAAGTTTTTAGTTTGTCCCCTTCTCATTAATAAACAGAGCACCTCTTTACTTTTTCTTTCAGTCATCACTGCCAGTATCATCCATGTTTCACTATCTCATGAGGTCATCTTGAGAAACGAAGGAAATGAAAAATACTTACGTAATAATCCATTATTCTAAACTCAGGTTTCATAAAGTGACATTATTTCCTTCATTCATCATTCATGAAATACTTACTGTTTGCCTACCCTGTTTTATGCAATGTTATGGTCACTGGTAATAAGCATGAACAAAACAACCCCCAGGTTCCTGTTCCCACTGCACTTCCATTCTCATCTTTATTTTGGTAAAGGTAAATATGTGATTAAAGGCCTTTGTCATTTACCTGTGATCTGAACTTATCACTCCATTTTCTCCATAAGATCTTGTTTATTATATATATTTAAGGTGTACAACATAATGTTTTGGTATGCATATGCACAGTGAAATGAATACCACAGTCAAGCAAATTAATATACTTATCACCTCACAGTTAACCCTGTTTTTTTGGTAGAAGCACCTAAAACCTACTCTCAGCGAATTTCCAGTATACAATACAATATTATTAACTATATATCAGATCCCTAGACTTACCCACATACGTGCAACTTTGTACCCTTTGACCTATATCTACCCTCCCTAACCACTATTCTGTTCTCTGTTTCTATGTATTTGACTGTTTTTTTTTTTTAAGATTCCACTTGTAAGTGAGATCTTGGCAGTATTTTTATTTCTGTGTCTGGCTTACATCACTCAATGTCTTCCAGGTTCATCCATGTTGTGGCAAATGGCAGGCTCTCCTGTTTAAAAGCTGAATAATATTCCTTTGTATATATTTGCCACAATTTCTTCTTTTCTTTTCTTTTTTTTTTTTTTGAGACAGAGTCTTGCTCTGTCGCCCAGGCTGGAGTGCAGTGGCATGATCTCAGCTCACTGCAACCTCCACTTGCCGGGTTCAAATGATTCTTGTGCCTTAGCCTCCTGGGTAGCTGGGATTACAGGCGCGTACCACCACACCTAATTTTTGTATTTTTAGTAGAGACGGGGTTTCACCATGTTGTCCAGGCTGGTCTCAAACTCCTGACCTCAAATGATCCGCCCACCTAGCCTCCCAAAGTGCTGGGATTACAGGCTTGAGCCACTGCACCCAGACCACAATTTATTCATCTTTATTTATCCATAGGTTGTTTGTTTCCATATCTTGGCCATTGTGAATAATGCTGGCATGAACATGGGAGTACAGGTATTTCTACATGGTTCTGATTTCATTTCCTTTGGGTATACAGTAATCCCCCTGTATCCACAGAGAATCTGTTCCAAGCCTCCAGTGGATGCTTGAAATCTCGGATAGTACTGAACCTCATATATGCTATTAATAATATGCTTTTTCCTATACAACATACCTATGATAAAGTTCAATTTATAAATTAGGTATAGTAAGAGATTAACAACTAATAATAAAATAAAATAGAACAATTATAATCTGTTGTAATAGTTATCAGAATTTGGTCCCTCTCTCAAAATACTTTATTGTACTGTTCTCGCCTATTTTTGTACTGTGGCTGACCATGGGGTAAGACTTTGGAAAGTGAAATCTTGGAAAAGGAGGGGGACTACTGTATACCTAGAAGAGGAATTGCTGAGTCATATGGTAGTTCCAGTTTTAATTTTTGTGGGAATCCATAAGACCTTAAGTTTCCCAATTACAAGCCTTCTATTATAACGAATTTCAGGAACTTTGATGGCTTCATAGGGGTTACTGTACTGCCTGGATTCTCAGAGGAGAAAACTGAGGCTCAAGTAGTTTGTAACTTCAAGCATGTAACCTAATGATACACAGAGAAAATGATACTTGCAGGGCCATTAGGGTAAACAGAAAAGGCCACTCACAGCTGAAGATGACAATCCCAGAGAGTCAAGTCTAGTCACCCCATCTCCCCATAGCCTGTTTCCATCACACAGGTTGGGTAGTTCTGCTGTTACAGTTGGGGCTTAGTTCACTGTTTTTCTCCACAGTCTACATAGTAGAAATGATTTTTGTGTTGTAGGGTGGTATTAAGTAATAATACCAGGATTTTAAATGTGCTACGGTGGTTTTTTATGAGATATTTAGAAGGCATATGTGCACTAACCTCTTTAAAATAGAAGCATAGGTTCATACCGGTTAAGAATTTACTAATGGCAGGTATTTTTCTTCCTGTGGAAGATGTCTTTGAGCTATGTAACAAATAAGATTTGTAGCTCTGCACTAACAGAATGAAAAAAAAATGGCCTTCCACTTTCATGGGAAATAGTTAATAAAATGATTATTTTTAGGTAGATCATGTAACAAAGTCACTATTTTTTCTTTCCTCCTATTGTGAAAGGAAAATGATTTCCATAGATTTATACATGTAAGTCTAGATTTATGTACTCAGGGAGGCTATGAAGAATGCTAAGGAGACCCGTTTTGGCTTTAGGCAAGGATTATTTCTAACAAACGTAGATTTGTTGCTTTTAAATACTAATACATTTATTAAATTTGGTAGAAATTTATGTCTGATGAGACTGATCTACAGGACAAAGGAAACAGGAAGTAGATATGAAAAAAACATTAATGGCTATGAAATAATTTTTAAAGTGGTTAATCGGTACTTAGCCCTTTATTTTTAGAGAGTTTGTTTTTGCCCTTATAATTAAGATGAAAATAATGTATACTAGAAGGAACACTTGTTTGGGAGTCACATTGGGTTTTAAATTTCACCTCTGCCATTTACTAGACGTTCGAGCATGAATAGCTTTCTGAACTGCATTTGCCTCATCTGTAAAATGGGAATAATATTTCAAATTTATGGACTCACAAAGAGAATAAAGAGATAACAGATACATTGCCTGGCATCTAGCTGATACTTGGTAAATTTTAATATCCACCATTGTGGTTTTGCAATATCCTAGCAACCTTTCAGTCCCTTGAAATGACATGCTAGCAGTTTCTCCAGCTAATTCAGGGTTCCTCCATACCCAGAAGTGATTTGCTTTTGCTTCCCATTAAAGTAGAACCCAGCCCAGCAAAGGTGAATCACAGTGCAGTGCAAGGAATAGGTCTTAAAACATGAGGATGGGATCTATCAACTTCATAAATTTGGCAGGCCAAAATTGGTCTTTTTTCTTTGACTTGTATTTATTTGTTTGCCATGCATAATCACTTGTACTTTTTTCTTTTTATCTTTTTTTTTTTTTTTTTTTTGACGTGTAGTCTCACTCTGTCGCCCACGCTGGAGTGCAATGGCGCGATCTCAGCTCACTGCAACCTCCACCTCCCAGGTTCAAGCGATTCTCCTGCCTCAGCCTCCTGAGTAGCTGGGATTACAGGCGCCTGCCACCACACCCAGCTAATTTTTGTACTTTCAGTAGAGACAGGGTTTCACTGTGTTGACCAGGCTGGTGTCGAACTCCTGACCTCAAGTGATCCACCTGCCTCGGCCTCCCAAAGTGCTGGGATTACAGGCGTGAGCCACTGTGCTCGGCCACACTTTTTTCTTTTTATGAATTTCCCATCCTTACTATTTGCCCATTTAGTTCTTGGACCTAGAGTTTTATTTAGCAGTTTACTTGAGCTCTTTGTATAATAAACTCATTAACATTTCATCAGATGTATTTGATGCAAATATTTCCCACATTGTGGACCATATCGTATATATGAAGTCATTCTGAGGATGAGATACGAGGCAAGAATATCTAAATTTTGCCTAATCCCAGGTGCCCCATTGGGAATACATACGCTGAAGATGCAAATACATGTTCAGAAGGAGGAAAGCACAATTAAATCACATTTGTACTATTAGCTTGGACTTCAGTCCTAAACTCTAGTGTGTTGAATGCTTCTCTGTATTAGATTTAGTATCCTTAAACTAAAACATATCTTTCCTTAGATTAGGGAAAGTCGAGGTGAGGAGGGTTGGGAAGGAACAGAATGGATCCCTTTAATTTGTTCTAAAGGACAGGTATTTTCCAGTTTCCCTTTTAAATTGGAATATACACATTTGAAAAAATACACATCAGTATTTTATCTATTTTATCAAATTTATTTTTTATTCTTAAAGTTCTTGACTAATTGCTATGCTGAGAAAACATACCATTTTTCCAGATTTAGAAAATAGTTTGCCCATGTTTTGCAAAAGCTTTTAAAATCTCTAGCATTTTATAGTATTAATTGTTTAATTTAGCTGAAGTTTATTTTTATACTGTATATTTGGGACTTTTTTCCTAATTTAAAAAATCAACTAACCATTCTGTATTTCTTAACTAATTTATATCTTCAGTGATTTAATGACAGTTTCTTTATTATATAACTTTAGGGAATTAAAAACTCAGTGGGAACTAACTTCTACTTGAATGTTCAGGTATTATGTTTATGTTTTTTCTTATTTTTAAATTTTGAGTCACAAATGGAAGCTGAAGCTCTCTAGAGATTGCTACAGTGTCTTCCAGAACTGTTTTCCAGACTTACTCAGACATGAGAACCCCATGTGATACTTGTTTTTAAATATATGGATTCTGATTAGTAAGTGTAAGGCTGAAGAATCTTTTGCTTCTAAACAGTTCTAATAAGCAAATTTGAAGAGAGCCATTCTGTACTTTTATGTTATGGAAGAGAGATTAATAGGCAATCTGAATTTTTTTCTTTTAAAAAGTGTGCCTGGGCCGGGCGCGGTGGCTCATGCCTGTAATCCCAGCACTTTGGGAGGCTGAGGCGGGCGGACCACGAGGTCAGGAGATTGAGACCATCCTGGCTAACACGGTGAAACCCCGTCTCTACTAAAAACACAAAAAATTAGCCAGGCGTGGTGGCGGGCGCGCCTGTAGTCCCAGCTACTCGGGAGGCTGAGGCAGGAGAATGGCGTGAACCCGGGAGGTGGAGCTTGCAGTGAGCCAAGATCGTGCCACTGCACTCTAGCCTGGGGGACAGAGCGAGACTCTGTCTCAAAAAAAAAAAAAAAAAAAAATCTTAATTGCAATGAAAGATACTTAGGAAAATCCTTTGTTGTTGCTCTTACTTGAGAATAACATTTTCTAACTGAAGAGCTGTCATTGGTACACTCCATCTTGTCTTTTAGGAGCTTAACTTGATGGTTTTTTGTTTTCCTATATAACGACACATATAGAAATAGCAATTTTAGGTAAATTTAAAGTTTGCCAAGAGAAGTATTAAAATGCACTGTATATTTTATAGGTGTTTACTAAGTTATATTTTCTAGAGGTCAACTTAGCACTCCAGTCTCTTAAAGTGACATCATGTGTTAAAGCAGCGTTTTGTGTACTGTATTTCTGCCAGTGTTTTAGAAGATTTACAAAGTAGCCAATGTGAAAACTATTATACAAAGTTAAATAGTAGACTTTGACAGATAGGAATAATGTAAGGGCTTGAGGTATTAAGGCATGGAAATTGATGTTTTGGGGATTGGTAGATGATTGTTGGCTGGTCCACATTTAACTTCTTTCTGTTAAACTTGTAGATAGTCAAAGTGAAGTTCATTAAATATTTTCTGAAATCAGTTTATTAAGGTGACATAAAGTATTTTAAACATTTAAAGAAGTATTAATTAAAATGGTATTACAAATTTAGAACTTGGTATATTTAGAACTTTGGTTATATTGTCTGTTCTTGGGTTTTCATGTGAATATAAGACAATTGCTATTTTTTTTCAATTAAGAGGCTATTTTTTAAAACAGTTTTAGACTTACAGAATGATATGTTTTTATATAAGAAATATCAAGAAAGCTTGTAGAATAGCAAAGCTTAGCAAAAATTAATTTATTTGTCTTATTGGTGCATTTCATTGTTTCACAAAGTGGGGGGTCCTGATTTGGAACACAGACTAGGAAAAGGTAGGGTGAATTCTTTGAATAGATAATTTTTCCATTCTTAAAAGTTTAACTTGTTCATTTTTGGACCAGTTAAAATTTTTTTTCCCATTTCTTTAAAACTGTGAAATAGATGGGTGGGGTCACAGTATGACCAAAAAAAAAAAAAAAAACCCTAAAAATAGAGCTCTTTACTAGATATCTATGTTTTATCCTAGCTAAATGTAACTCTTTTCCATTAAAATCTTTTTTGATATGGACCAGGGCAGTCTCAGGGCTAATTAGAGAACCTTCTCACATTAATGATCTCAGTGGCTGGTCTTGTCCTGCTCTCTCCATGCCAGCTGTAGGTGTTTTTTAGAGCAGAGATTTATTTAAAACTATTGATGCATTCAGCAGCATACTAACCAGTGACCATCATTCTTACTTACTCTTCCTCTTGATCATTCTTTCTCTTTTCTTTACTGGTTCTTCATTATTGCACCTCTTGAATATTGATATTCCACAGTGTTTAATCCTCAGTATTGTTCTATCTTGTTTTGCATAGATCCAGTCACTTTGTGTATGCTTGGCAATTCCTGGATTATTCATTCAACCAGCATTTGCTTTGCTTGGTTCAGGAAATGCTAGTGATAAAGTGAAGGAGAAATAAGAAACCAGCACTTACAGAGCACATTGACTGCATTGTAAGGGATTTGTAAGAGTTTCATCAGAATAGAGGAGGGCAATCTGGTTGTCATAACATAACATGCTTCTAAGATACGCCCAGTCTGGGGGTGGGGGAAATTAGATGTTTTCTAGGCAAAAACGACAAAAATATTTGCAAGAAAGGTATCAAGGCATTTTGAGCAAAAGAAATAGCGTGAAAGAACGTGATACGTTTTGGGGAATTGCAAGTATTTGGTGTGGTAGAAGAGAATGCAGTGAGTGTGGACATAGCAGGATATGAATCTGGAAAAAGGTAGAGAGGGGCCATGCCAAGGAGTTTAGAAAGGAGTTCCAAAAGTGGTTTTATGATACAGATAACTTGGGGCAGGTAGATGATAGATTTCGGGATGCGTGAAAGTGGGTGGGGCAGGGATCAAGACTTGAGCCAGGCCTGCAGTCCCATTAGGAGGTTTTTGTGAGAGTAAATTGTTGAGGGCCTAAATCAAAGAAGTGGCGTTGGAGACACAGGATGCATTTGAATTTGAGGTATTCTGTTGGGCCTGTTGACTGACTAGATACAGGGGAGTAGGGAGAAATTGAGGAAGAAATTCCTGCTTGAGTAACTACATAGATAGTTAAGCCATTACCTAAAATGAAGTTTCTCTCCCGTCACTCTGGCAGTTATGACTTATTCTTGCCTTTACTTCCCTCCTTCTATCTGCTGCTTAAACCCATTCTTAGGTTTTGTCATTTCTTCCTCTACAACTCTTTTCTCACCTGTATGTTGAATCTTAAATCCATATTTTTAATCCAAACTTTTTTGAACTCCAGAACCATATATTCAGTTGCATCCCGTGTGTGCATATTCTGTAGCAATGGTTCTCGAAGTTTACCTGAGGACAGGATCCCTAGGAGGCTCCTCAAAACTCTTTCATGAGATCCATGAGGTCAAATCAATTTTCATAATAACAGGAAGACTTTATTTGCCTGTTTCACTTTTATTATGAGTATATAGTGGAGTTTTCCAGAGGTGACACAGTGTGGGATACCACAACAAATTGGATGCAGGCGCATATGTGATAATCCACCTACCTTCTGTTAAGCCAGATGTTAGAGAGACTTACAGAAATGTTAAACAGTGCCATGCTTCTCACTAATTTTGTTATGGAAAATAGAACAATTTTTTTTAAATGTATGTATGTTCGTATGTAATAAATTTATTTTTAACTCACTTAAAATATTTGTTTAAACTTTTATTATGGTAAATGTATATACAACACACATAAACGAAACCTTTTGGAGTTCTCAGTGTTTCAGAGTATAAAGGACCTTGAGACCAAAACATTCGAGATGTGAGTCAGCAGAGGCAGTGTGGTTAAGTGCCTTGCCCATGGTCATATAGCTAGTAAGTTGCAGAGCTGAGATTTGAATCCATCCAGTCTTTTGAACCTATACTTCTTGTCCTGGGACAGTTTAGGTAAGATTAATATTACATGTTTCTTGAGGATACACACCCATCCACACACGCCCCCTGTAAAGTTATCTGAGCCTGGTGCATGTTATGTTATGTTATGTTATGTTATGTTATGTTATGTTATGTTTTATGTTATGTTATGTTATGTTGTTATGTTATGTTATGTTATGTTATGTTATGTTATGTTATGTTATTCAGGAGTTGGGGCCTTACCATATTGCCCATGCCTGACTTGAACTTTTTGGCTCAAGCGATCCTCCTGCCTCAGGACTACAGACATCTGCTGCTGTGCCTGGCTTTTTTGTTTTTGTATTCCTGGTGTGTTTTGGAGGGATAAATCTTGGGAGACCCTTTCAGAGTTTCTGCTGTTATACTATAGGACCTTCTATTCCTCTGTGAGCCTATTTTGGTAAATTATATTTGATAAAGCAGAGTTTGGAAAACTACAGTCTGCAAGTGAAATCTGGCCCACTGCCTGTTTTTGCATATGCAGTGTTACGAAATATAGTCACATCCATTTGTTTGCATTTACCTGTTGTCTATGACTGCTCTGGTGCTACACTGGCAGAGTTGAGTAGTTGTCACAGATTCTGTGGTCTGCAAAGCCCAAAATATTTACTCTCTCATCTTTACAGAAAGAACTTGCCAACCCCTGTTGTATAACATAGTTCAATTTAGTTGGGTTTTGTTTTACTGGGATAGATTGTACATAGTATTTTCTTGTCTTTTGGTAATCTCCACGTTTGAATTTGTGTCTTTTTCATTCCCAGTGCTATTTATATCTCTTGTTTTTATTCCCATTGTTTGGGATGACCAAAATTTAGCCTGACTTATTGGTAACAGTGTTATGTTGGTGCTCCATCTTTTACTGTGCTCTCCAATAATTTAAATGCGATTAGATTTAGAGATACGTGTTTCTTTTTCTTTTTCTTTTTTCTTTTTTTGAAACAAGGTCTTGTTGTTGCAAGACTTCGGGAGGCAGACAGAGGTTGCAGTGAGCCAAGATCCAAGATCGCGCCATTGCACTCCAGCCTGGGAAACAAGTGCAAAACCCTGCCTAAAAAAAAAAACACTATTAAAGGCCATGTGCAGTGGCTCCCAGCACTTTGGGAGGCCAAGGCAGGAGGATCACCTGAGATCAGGAGTTCGAGACCAGCCTGGCCAATGGCAAAACCCCATCTCTACTAAAAATAGAAAAATTAGCCGGGGCTGGTGGCACACACCTGTAATCCCAGCTTCTCCTCAGGCTGAGGCATGAGAATCACTTGAACCAGGGAGGTGGAGGTTGCAGTAAGCCAAGATTGCACCACAGCACTCCAGCCTGAGCGAGACTCTTGTCTCCAAAAACAAGTATATACTAGTGAAAAAGAAAAAGTATGGTAGTATTCATCAGGGAAATTATCTGATCCTGATGGACACTTTCATAAATTTGTCTTATTTCTTCTATGTAAACTAGCTAATCTGTTTAGATTTCCTGCCTCTTCTATAGTCAGTGTTAAATTACTCCCTCCTCCAGCTTTTCAAACTATTTATAGATTTGAACATAAATATATTAATTGCCGAAGGTTATTTTTTTCCATTTTCATTTTTTTAATAAAGTTTTAACTATTCTTTTTCATAGAAGCATGCCTTGGATTATATAGATTTACTTTAAAAGTCATTGATCTCTCTTTTATATTTACTAATTCCGTCTTTCTATTTCCTTTACTTTAGTATGTGCGGGTGTTTTCCCCCTTCTTGAGTTGGATTATTATGTTCTTGTTGGAAATAAGGCTATGAATTTTTTTGTGTGCACTGGTTTAGCTGGATCTTAAAATGTATTGTATGCAGTGTTTCCAGTATTAATTTCTTGGTAACCCTGTAATTTAGTGTTTATTTCTTCTTCATCTTGAAATGTACTTTTTTCTTCTTTTTCTTTTCTGTTTTTAGCTGCAAAATTTGTGTTATGCAGTTGAAATTTATTTAAGGCAGATTTTTATTTGCTAGTTTTATCATTTTAGTGACATTGTATTGTAATCCAGAAATATCCACTGTATTATTTCTAGCCTTTGCAGTTTATTGATGTTTTCTTTGCTGCTGTATGGCATGCATGTGTGTGTGTTTGTGCACGCGTGTACATGCATGCATGCATGTTAACCTATGATTGTTTCATGGGCATTTGTCAAAAAGATGTTACCTGTTTTCAAGATACATGGTTTTGCTTTTTTCCGGTTTTCTCTGTCTCCATTTATTTTGCATGTTTTGGTATTATGAGGCTTGGCATATGAAAGTGCTTAATTGCTCATATCTTTTTAGTTGTTTTTTTTATTATGAATATGAAATTTGTCTTATCCTTTATAATGCTTTTCTCTTTGAATTTTGTCTGATATCAATATTGTTTTCATTTTAATTTTCTTAGCCTTTCTTGGTTGTATATCTTCCTCTCTACTTTTTTTTTTAACCTTGCTGCATTGTTTTGTTTTAGGAGTGCTTTTTGCGAAGTATATTGTTTTTCCTTTCTTAGTTTAAGAGGCTTTATCTTTTAACAAGTGAACTTAACCCATTCACATTTATTGTGACACAGATAATTGGGGGCTTCTATTTAGCATCCTAGTTTGCATTAACCAGAATTTTGAAATTTTTTAAAATTCCATTTTCCATGTCCGTTGAATAGATGAAGTTTTCTAATTTTCCTTTTTCCCCCCTTCCAGTGGTTTGGGTGATTATGAACATAGTTAACTTAAAATTTTTAACTACACATAAACCATGCCAGTATTAGTCAGTATTGATATTTGTTACCTAGCAACCCCCACCTACGTTCACTGTTTACTCCTTCTGCACTCATTACTTCTATGTCTTATTTTGTATCTAAGATTGTACTTCAGATTAGCTTCATGTAATAATCAGTAGTTACATTGTCTTGATGTCTTTACTGGTTTTAATGAAGCTTTCTGGCCCCGGAAATGAATACCTATCTCAGCTTTGTATTCCACATGGTACTTTACTGATCAGAAGTACAGCAGTTACTTGAGTTCATGCCTTCATATAGATCATTCACAGTTTTTGTATATAGGTTTTCTTCTGGTTCTTTGATAAATAAAAAGCATCTTCCTGCTCCTTTCTCACAGACTTTGTTTGGACCTAAAACTGTCACAATTTTTTTTTTAATGTTTAGATTTTTAAAGTAATGAAGTGGCAACAAACCTGTATTACAGCAGCAGGTAGCTGCCACCTTAAGTTGATGTTCAATTGCCAGATGCCACACTAAGTCCAGTACTAAGCATGTAAAAGCTGAGTAAGCATTTTTATGTTCCTCATAATGTTACATATACAGTTGTCCCTTGGTATCTGTGATGCATTGGTTCCGGGACCCCCAACAGATACCAGAATTCATGGATGTTCAAGTCCCTTATATAAAATGGTGTAGTATTTGCATATAACCTAGACACATTCTTCTATATGCTTTGAATCATCTCTAGATTACTTACAATACCAAATATAATGTAAATGCTGTGTAAATAATTGCATTGGTTTTTATTTATATTTTTATTTTTGGTTTGTTTGTTTGCTTAGTATTTTTGATCCATGGTTGGTTGAATCTGTGGGTGGGGCACACATGGATGTGGAGGGCTGCCTGTACTTTATCTTCCTTAGGTTTCAGAGGTACTTTAGAATATTCTAGTGCCATATGGTCTTCATGAAGTGTTTTTGATAGCCAGTGTCTGCTTATTACTGCATGAGGTACACGAAGGAATATACGTTATTGTTACATATTAGAAGCATTATATTGTCTGGGAGACAAAATTTTCACCCATAATTAGGCCTAGAAAGCACTTTGCCCCAATTATCAGTAAGAGACTCATCAGTGAGCATCAAGAATGGAAAGGATTATAAACAGTAGATGGAATATTTGTAATTATTCACTGTAATTCTTCCTGAACTACAATTTGTATTACTTTAGAAAAATGGAAGTCACATGGAAAAAAAAAAAGAGGCTAAGATCATATATTATATTAAAAAAGTATAAATGACATAGACTAAATTTACCAGATGTTCAGAGAAGAAAGAAAATGGGGAGATCAGTTTGTTAGGTGAAGGGAGGCTAGAGCTGAGAGTGTGGAAGAGGAAGTTGGTGGCTATTGTAAACTCAGGTGACCAAGGCTTTAATGACATTGTCATATATATTGTAGGCATTTGATAAAGATTTCTTTTGGACACAGTAATAACTTCACTTCTGTTTACTGAGTGGTTACAACACACTGGGCACTTGACCAAGACTGTTGCTACTTTATGGAGGAGAAAGACACAGAGGTAACTCAGATGGTGAATAGTGGGCTGTTTTAATTCCAGGGTGGGAGCTCTTAACCCTTGAATGGAGATTTTTCTCTGAGTGCCCTCACCAGTAACATGGGGGTGTTTCACTTCACTTATCTGACAGTGGTATCTGTGAGGATACATTACAGCATTTCATAGAAACATTCAACTGCTACCAAAGTATAAGGTGGTATTGTGTCAGTCATTAACGAATAGCCACTGTTTATATAGCCTTATGTTCTGTGTTTTATAAACATGAAGACATTTAACCTTAGGATAGCTCTGCAAGGTGTAGGTACTATCTCCATTTTACCGAGAAAACAGCAGGCTCAGTTAGGTTTATACAACTTGCCCAAAGACAGAAAGCTTGTAAAGGCAGGGCTGGGGTTGAAACCTGGCACCAAAAGCTCATACACCATGCATCTCTGTACTTCTCCAACTGGGTTTACTTACACTAGCTTAAGGCATTTCCATCCGTTTTATTTCTTTCTTTCCACTCTTTTATGAGTCAAAAATTTCCCTATTTGCAGTTTCCGATTTATTTTTCAGATTTAAGATAGAGCATCCAGATTATTTATCTCATTTTGATTCATCTCATAGATAACGTTATCTTTGTCTTTAGTTCCATGTTCTGAGTTTGTCTTATATGATTCAGATATTACATTTTTAGCAAATACAGACATTGTTAACTTAGCCTTTTTGTAAGAAAACCAGCAGGTTGTTTTCTAACCTTGTGTTGTTCTTGTGTTGTCTTCCAAAGATGAAAAATAGAGACCAAACACATTAACAATGAGGCAGAATAAGAACAGTTGCCAAGGAATAGAGGATTCCCTTAGGACTACTGAAAATTGGTTGGCCACATTTGTTCTTTGAGTCATTGCGAGTTCCCTGGTTTTGTAATGATCCGATGATGATGTCTTTGACCAGAGAGTAATGTGGTAAAAGAGATAGTGAACATGAGTTGTTGTCTTGGCCGAAGGTCCCTGGGCCCTTATTGGGTAGGTAGGTAGCAGAAGTGAAATATGACTCTTGGCAGTGACATCTCCTAACAAAATTTGAGCCTGTAAATGAGGATATCCCTGCTCACAGAAAGCTTCTGTTTTTTTAGGATTATTTTTCTTAGTGCCTTTGAATTTAGATGGCTTACTTTGGAGGTACACTTTACTGGCTAATCTTTTCCACCCCTTTTCTTTTGTTGGGATTAGTGCCAGAACAGATAAAGCCCAGTGTAAGCCAGCCTCAGCCTGCCAACTCTAATAACGGCACTTCCACAGCAACCAGCACTAATAATAATGCCAAGCGAGCTACAGCCAACAATCAGCAGCCACAGCAGCAGCAGCAACAGCAGCAGCCGCAGCAGCAGCAGCCACAGCAGCAGCCACAGCCGCAGCCGCAGCAGCAGCAGCCACAGCAGCAGCCACAGGCCTTGCCTCGGTATCCTCGTGAAGTACCTCCACGATTTCGCCACCAGGAACACAAACAGCTTCTAAAGAGGGGTCAGCATTTTCCTGTTATAGCAGCAAACCTTGGATCTGCTGTTAAGGTGTTAAACAGCCAGTCAGAAAGCAGTGCTTTAACAAATCAACAGCCACAAAATAACGGAGAGGTGCAGAACAGCAAAAACCAGTCAGGTGAGAGAAGGCATTTCTTACGAGACTCACACCTTATCATCATTAGCTGTATAGCAAGTTGATAAATTCGTAGCTTTTTGGTGATGTATTTGTATTCATCAGTATGTGGGCTTTAATGTAAGAGTTCTTTATAGGGAGTTATGAATGGGGAATCTTAGAATATTTCCTGTAAGTTACCTACTTTAAAATGATTATTTTAATTACTGATTCTCCCTTCAGGTTCTGCCCATTTTAATAAGGAGCTTATAGCTAAAGTTGACTATAAGACTGTAGCTAAAATTGAGCACCCTTCCCCCCAGGCCATGTGCTGAGCAGTTATACATATTATTGCATTTAATCTTCAACAACGTTGTGAGACTGAGTTCTTACCTCCACTTTCAGTAGAGGCAGCTGACATACCAAGATGTTAAATAACTTGCCCAGGCTCATTCAGTTACCACATGCCATAAAAAGACTGGCACTCATAGAAATTATATTCAAACAGAGGAAATGCATTCAGTTATTTGTCTCAGAGTGGCTTCTCTGAGCTTGGTAGTGATGGTGAGGCAGAAAATAAATCTGGTATGTGATTACAGGTTTTCTCAAAACCCAGTTTGTTTCAACATGTTCTGGAAAGTTTTGATGGTCTGTTAGTCTGTCCATCCATTCATTTATCCAACTATTTGAAAGCTTTACCACAAGCCAGGTAGAGAATTAGGTGCTAGGGTTGAGGGGGAATGAAGGTGCCCATACAAGAACACACTTCTAGAGGCAGTATAGCATACTGATAAAGAAGGAAGTCTCTAGAATCAGATAGACTAGGGCCTTACATCCCGGTGCCCCCATATCCCAGTGTGTGTGACCTTGGGCAGGTTACTTAATTGCTCTATGTGCCTGAGCAGTCTTTCCTAACTGTGCCAGGTAGTTACTCACTTTCTATACCTGTGCTCTCTTTTATATACCAAGAACTACTCTGTACATTGTAATATATTATGGTATTTCACAGTGAATAAGTAGCAGATCCTGGACTCACATCAAGATCTGTCTGACTCCAAAGATATGCTTGTAACCACCATGCTGTGCTTTGGCAACATACAGGATGTGATTGGTAATGAGGAAGAGGACACAAATGTGAGTTTTCTAGCATAGGCACATTGTTATTGGAAAGGATACAAATTTAAGTCATTGTCCTGAGTTAATATTTACTTGCTAATTTCCCAGCACCTTATTACCTGTGTGAGCTTGGCCATAACACATCTGACCTTCTTTGCTAATCTGTAAAACAGTAGTACCCAACCCTATAAGGCTGCTGTGTAGACTTAATTACATGACATGTTATTAAAGGAACTACCTTAATGCCTGGTATCTAGGTGCCAAATAAATTATCTTCCTAATAACTCTTATAGAAGGACCTGTACTCTTCAAGAAGAGTTTGGTTAATACTAGATCTAATGCCAAGTAGTAGGCAATTAGTCATTTGAAGTTCATCTGGGGAGTCAGATTGGAAGCAAATGTACTGGTCATCAGCATAATGAAAAATGTGGTTAAAAACTTCGGGAGAGGTTAGTTATACAACAGATGATGGAGTACCTGCTGTGAGCTAAGGAAGGTGGAATGGTACTGAACAAGACAGTGAAGTGGGATAGTATATTTAGAAAATATGTCAAATATGCCTTTTCACTTGGGGAAATGAAGAGAACCTGTTTTTGGATGGAAACAACAGGAGTGTAAGAATCTTGCTTCTCAAAAATAACTATGAGTCAAAAATATCAAAAGTGTTACAGGTGTGGGTTCAGATGAGAAGAAGGCCTCAGGTGTGGGCATAGGAAGAAGCTTTCAAAAAATGTCTGAGAAGGAAAAACGTCATGCCTATTTCTAAAAGAATTTTACTAGGGTGGACTGCATTGATGTGGAGGCTAAGGTGGAAGT
This sequence comes from Homo sapiens, assembly GCF_000001405.40. Classification (NCBI taxonomy): domain Eukaryota; kingdom Metazoa; phylum Chordata; class Mammalia; order Primates; family Hominidae; genus Homo; species Homo sapiens. The sequence goes on from NW_021160019.1 coordinate 29,967, forward strand.
GAGGAGGGTGCAGCAATCTGACTGAAGCCTGGATTCAATCTCAAAAAACAACTAGAAAATGCAGATGATGAAGCCAAGGCATTCCAAAGAAGAGCCAGATTTGTACTTTTGTCTCTTAAAAAATTTATGAATCCCCACTTAACAGCATATTTTACATATTTACATTAAAACATCTTTCTAAGTGTTACTAGGATTGGTAATAGAAACTTTAGCTTGCAAAATAGACCAGGAGAGTCAGTGAAGGCCTCTTATGAGTTAGGTATCTCCAGCTCCTACCAAGTTATTAATATTAATAACGATACAGTGGCTAATCCTTATGGGGTGCTTACTGTGCCCACACACTACTAACTCATTTAATACTTCTTTTACAGAGTAGATAGTATCATGTTCATTTTACAGATTAGGAAGTAGCCTAGAGGCCAGTGAAGAACAAGGTACTAGTTAGTATAAACAGCGTGCACAGTAGCCCAGAAACACAAACATTCTTTGTTGTGAACTACATGTAGTTCAGAATTGGGAGAACATAGTGTTGGCTTGGTTTTTTGTTTTGTTTTGTTTTGTTTGATCTATTCGTATTTGGCTTTTTTACATTCTCATTTTTAATTTTTTTAGAATCCTGTGCTAGTCAAACTAGACAACTCTGCAGACCAGCCCTGGGCTGCCATTTTGGGGCTGTGCCTCAGACACTTATTGATGGTTTAAATTGAGACTTGAGACCTCTTTTTTGCAGTTGACCACTTAGACCCCAAAGAGGTGAAATAACTGTTTAATATGGGGGCCCACAAACCATGTAATGAAAGTGAAGGCTTTGGGGGGATGACTAGGCTCAACAGGAGCAATATTGTTCTTATAGGCCAAAGTGTTCTATCCTATTTTTTATCCACCTGACATGATCCATACAGAAAAATTAAGAAGACTAACATAGTGAACACTCGTATACCCTCCACCCAAAACTGGTGGTGGTTAACATTGTCCCATCTTGACTTGACACACCTCTCTTTCTCTCTCTCATATATGCATGCATGTGCACATTATTGTTGAACCACTTAAAAGTAAGTATGCAAACATTATGGCACTTCAACTTTAATCCTTCCACAGGTAATTATCCTAAGAATAAGCATAGTCTCCTATACAACCACAATACCATTATCACCCCTAAGTAAAAGAACAACAACAATATCTTCTGATAGTTTATATCCACATTTTTGCTAGTTGTCCCAAGAATGTATTGCTTGCTTGTTTGTTCACAGTATGTTAGTGTTTATATAAAATATAAAGCATATAGAACACTATGTATTGCTTAGGGGATGAATTCAAATGTAGTGAGATATAAAGATTTACATGAGTGATTACCACTGGTATACCTACTGGCGAAGGAAAGAGAGAGAATACCTGCGAGTTTTTTCTGCCATATTAGTAACGCATTTCTTAAGGTGTATGAGTATATTTTATATTACTCTTTTATGGCCTTATCTATTATGTTTGAAGTAGTTTTTTTTTTTTAAAGAAAAAGACATTTGAGGCATAATGGTGAATGACCAATAATTGGGATGTTTTAACCAAAAGTGTTAACATTAAAGTTTCTGGAGATATTTAAAGGTTAAAATGCTGTCCATCCCCATCCATCCGTGCTCTTGCATTGGGCTTTTAGCACGGTGTACCTCCTTGCTGTCTTGCAACTTCTACTACTTGCTTGCAACTTGCACCTTCCCCTTGGACGATAAACAAACTCAGATCTTCTCTATCCTTAAAAAAATTTTCTTAAGCCTCCATACTCTTTTTTTTTTTTTTTTTTTTTTTTTGGAGGAGACAGCGTCTTACTTTGTCACCCAGACTGGAGTGCAGTGGCATGAACACGGCTCACTACAGCCTCAACCTCCCAGCTCAAGTAATCCTCCCACCTCAGTGAGTCTCCCTGAGTAGCTGGGACTACAGGCGTTCACCACCACACCTGGCTAATTTTTGTGTGTTTTGTAGAGATGGGGTTTTGCCATGTTGCCTAGGCCAGTCTTGAACTCCTGAGCTCAAGCTATCTGCCTGCCTTGGCCTCCCAAATTGCTGGGATTACAGGTGTGAGCCACCACACCCGGCAAAATTCCCATACTCTTTTGAGGCTATTACAGAATTTCTCCCTCCCCCCTTTCAGTGTTACTGAAGGAATAGTCTGTACTTGCAGTCTTTAATGTATTACATCAGTCTCTCATAATCTGGCTTCTGCTCACTTGACTAAAATAACTCTATTGCTGAAGTCACTGATCTTCTGAATGTCAAATGCAAACCTTTTTGTTCCCTCCCAAGGCTTTGTTTCAGATCTCGCCACATTTTAGGTCCTCTTCTGGAAGTCTTCAGCTGATGTTGGGCCCCTCAAAACTCAGTATGTCCAAACTTGAACTCTTTGTGTTGCCCCGTACCACTTCCTCCTCCTGCGTTCCTTTGCTCAAATAGTTGCCACCCCCATTCATCCAACCACCCATCTAGAAACCTTGAAATCATGCTTTACTCTTCCCTCTCCTATATGTCTCACAGGCCAGTGGGTTACTGTACTCTGCTGATTTTAACTCTTTTTTTTTTTTTTTGAGATGGAGTCTCGCTGTTGCCCAGGCTGGAGTGCAGTGGCACGATCTCGGCTCACTGCAAGCTCTGCTTCCCAGGTTCACACCATTCTCCTGCCTCAGCCTCCCGAGTAGCTGGGACTACAGGCGCCCGCCACCATGCCCGGCTAATTTTTTGTATTTTTAGTTGAGATGGGGTTTCACCATGTTAGCCAGGGTGGTCTCCATCTCCTGACCTTGTGATCTGCCCGCCTCGGCCTCCCAAAGTGCTGGGATTACAGGCGTGAGCCACCGCGCCCGGCCAATTTTAACTCTTAAATGCCTCCCACTTTTCCCATCTCCCTTTGATACTGCCATCAGTTGCAACAAGTTGCCCTGGTTGAGGTGTTCACCATCTGGTCTAGAGCAACATCCCCAAGGATGTCTTTTATATCCATCTCCCTACCACTTTCACCCCATCTCTCAAACCGGAAGCCAGTCATGATTCATGCATTGCATTTGGTTGTGATATTGCATTTGTCTTTTTTATTCTGGAACAGAGATCTGGGCCTATTTTAGTCCAGCTTTTTTGGGAGGTACCTACACCCATTCATTTACATGTCGTCTGGGCTGCTTTCAAGCTACAATGGCAGAGTTAAATAGTTTTCACAGACCATCTGGCTCGCAAGGCCTAAAATGTTTAACTGGACCTGTATAGAACAAGTTTGCCAACCCCTGAACCAAAGGCAAGAATAACCAGATGAGACATTTTGAATTTTGTACGTAAGAGTGATTTGAGGCCGGGCGTGGTGGCTCATGCCTGTAATCCCAGTGCTTTGGGAGGCTGAGGTGGGCGGATCACAAGGTCAGGAGATCTAGAGCATCCTGGCTAACAGGGTGAAACCCCCTCTCTACTAAAAATACAAAAAACAAAATTAGCCAGGCGTGGTGGCGGGCTCCTGTAGTCCCAGCTACTCGGGAGGCTGAGGCAGGGAACCCGGGAGGCAGAGCTTACAGTGAGCCGAGATCGCGCCACTGCACTCCAGCCTGGGCGACAGAGCAAGACTCCGTCTGACAAAAAAAAGAGTGATTTGAAACTGTACATCTAAGGTTCTCTCGTATTCCCAATGGTACCATCTCTCTCATACTCCTTGGAAACATTGTAAAACATAAATATTATTTACTTTCGAAGCTCTTCCCTTTCTGGCAAAATTGAAAGTCTTTAAGGCAGAAAATAAATATTTAACTGTTTTGTTTGTTAGATGCTGTATATTTAGAAGAAAAATATTTGAAGGTCCATGGATCTAAATTCTTCCTGAATAAGTGATGCTGTTTCTTTTCTTTTTTTTTTCAAACAGTCTCGCTCTGTTGCCCAGGTTGGAGTGCAGTGGTGCGATCTCTGCTCACTGCAACCTCCGCCTCCTGGGTTCAAGCAATTCTCCTGCTTCAGCCTCCTGAGTAGCTGAGATTATAAGCGTCCACCACCATGCCCAGCTAATTTTTGTATTTTTAGTAGAGATGGGATTTCACTATGTTGGCCAGGCTGGTCTCGAACTCCTGACCTCAGGTAATATGCCCACCTCGGCCTCCCAAAGTGCTGGGATTACAGGCATGAGCCACTGCGCCCAGCTGATGCTGTTTTTTTATGTCGCTAGAATTATCACCAGTCTTCGTTCAGCCCCCACATAACCTCTTTGATCTTTTTTGGATAGATGTTCTATTATGTACAATTTTTTTTTTTTTTGAGTGTGGTACTGTAGGTGATCACACTTCTGTGGGCATTTTGTATGAAAGTAGGATGTTAATGATGCTTTAGATTTCAAATATTTCTAAATAACGCGCAACCTTCCAAATCTTAAGTTTGCCTACAGCATTGCAGCGTATAAACATTTTGCATTACACTCAGTAAAACTCAGCCGCTCCCTTTCTTCCTACTAGCACAGAGATTAACTATTTCTCATTATTTCCTGGAAAGCTGAGTGATAATACTCTACTTAATGATGTTCCTCTATGTTTATCTTCCAGATCATTTACAACACTGGGTCTTGTGTGTCTTTAAGTGAAATAAATTATTTGACTTCTTCCAAATCTGAAATAATCTCTGACTCTGAAACATATTAGTTATACCTGAGGAGTCCTGTTCTTTTCATCCTTTCAGTTTTAATAGCGTCTTTTCCCATCCCCTGCAACACATTTTGTTTTTGTTGTTGTTGTTTTGAGATGGAGTTTCGCTCTTACATAATGCCCAGGCTGGAGTGCAGTGGTGCGATCTCGACTCACTGCAACCTCCACCTCCTGGGTTCAAATGATTCTCCTTCCTCAGGCTCCTGAGTAGCTGGGATTATTGGGGCCTGTTACCACACCCGGTTAATTTTTGTATTTTTAGTAGAGATGGTGTTTCACCCTGTTGGCCAGGCTGGCCCCAGGCTCTTGACCTCAGTTGATCCTCCCGCCTCGGCCTCTCAAGGTGCTGAGATTATAGGAGTGAGCCACTGTGCCCAGCCAACACTTTTTATTGATTTTTATTTGTTTATTTATTCATTTTGAGAGAGGCTGTAGCTCTGTCTCCTAGGCTGAGTGCAGTGGTGCAATCACAACTCACTACAGCCTCAACCTCCCAGGCTCAAGTGATCTTTCTGCCTCAGCCTCTTAAGGAGCTGGGACCCCAGGTATATGCTACTACACCCAGCTGATTTTTTTATTTTTTGTAGAGATGGGGTGTTGCAGGGTTGCCCAGGATAGTCTCACTTCTGGACCCAACCAATATTCCCGCCTTGGCCTCCCAAAGTGCTGGGATTACAGGCATGAGCTAGAATGCCAAACGAATTTTTTTTCCTAAACTACAACCTTTTTTACAACCCAGAATACCTTGTAACTCACCATTGGTAACCCAATTTTTAAAATAATCTTTAGGTTTTGATCAAGTGGCTTCTAGATTAAAAATGGGATTTTAGTTAATAATATTTTAAAAGACAAACTTAGCCACCAAACCGGGTCATGACCAGAATCTGAGAACATTTTTCACTAACATTAAAGGTGATAGAACTCATTTGCAGAATATATTCAGGCGTTTGCTTTTTTGCTTTGCTTTTGATGTATTCTAACATTAACAAGTGAAATCTGCCACGTATGGTTTATGTATAAAAATACTTATTCACTGATAGCTTCATGATTTCGTCTTTTACTTTTAATGTTTTAATCATTTGGGATTATTTTTATTTATTATCTCATTTTAAAAAGTTTTCAAGTACTGAATATTCCCTTTCTCCACTGATTTAAAATGCTAATCCTTGAAATAGTATCTTTGACATATACTTGGATCTGTTTCTGGGTTACTTTTTCTGTTCAGTCAAAGTGCTCTCTGGCAATGCAGTGCTGTTCAACTATTTCCTGATAATGCAGATTCCCTTCTTCACAACCTCTTCTTTTTGAAATTTTTTAGAGGGTTACTTCCCCACTTGCTTTACAGAATTTTTAAATCACTTGTAATCATTTTGCAGACTCTTGTTAACAATTTCTTATAACTGAATTAAACTTAGAGCATTGTTACACCTTCATATCCAGGAACAAGTTTCTTCACTTTCAAGTGTCTTCTATAGCCAGCAATAAAATATAATCATATATGACTTTAAATATTTTTGCTAGCTTTATTCCTGTTACTTTATGGCTGTTAATGATTAAGATCTTTTCCCATCAACATTTTCTCCTGGATTATTTTTGGCATATAGAAAGGAAATTGTTTTTTCATGTTGATCTTTTTTGCCTCTATTCTATTATTTTTACCTCTCATTTTTGAGTCATATTTTATCAGTTACTACTTCTAAAACTGGACCAAATAGTAGTATTGATGACAAGTATTTTTGTCTTTTTCTTGTCATTATGGGAATGCTTCTGGTGTTTCCCTCTTGAATTCTGGATCCATTTCTTTATTTTCCATTTGGGTAGTTTTGTTTTCGATGGCCAATCTTGTTTTCTTACTCCTGCCTTGTGAAAGTGGCCACACACACTTAACGCACGCAAATAGTGGCAGCAGAAATACGTTTGTAGTAGTCCAGGAAAAGACAGTGACAAGGGCTGGACTGTCTTAGATTTGGAAAAAAGATGTATGGATTTTGGACTTGATGATGTTTTGGATTTGCTGTGCACAGGGAGGAATAAAAGATAAATTCTAGGTGTTAGGAAACTTACTGAGATGAGAAAAACTTGTAAAGAAGCAGTTTTTGCCCCGTTTGGGAGGAGAGCAATTTATACTCTGTTGGAGTGTAAATCTGGAATCTGAAGATTCTGCTAAAGATATCTAAGTGGAAATTTTAAGTAAGGAAGTTATATGATTTCTCATTTTGTTCTTTATAAGGGAGACATGGTGGAATGAAAAACATGCTTTGGAGATAGGACTAAAAGATGATAATCATTAGCATGCATTTATCAATGATAATAATGGCCCTCATTTATTAAGCACCTAATATGGATCAGATATAGTTCAGAGTCCTTTTTTGTTTTTTTTTGTTGTTGTTGTTGTTTTGTTTTGTTTTGTTTTGTTTTTTTTGAGACGGAGTCTTGCTTTGTTGCCCAGGCTGGAGTGCAGTGGCACGATCTTGGCTCACTGCAAGCTCTGCTTCCCAGGTTCATGCCATTCTGCCTCAGCCTCCCGAGTAGCTGGGACTGCAGGCACCCACCACCACGCCCAGCTAATTTTTTTGTAGAGATGGGCTTTCTCCGTGTTAGCCAGGATGGTCTCGATCTGCTGACTTCGTGATCCTCCCGCCTCGGCTCCCTAAAATGCTGGGATTACAGGCGTGAACCATCACGCCTGGCCAGTACAGAGTACTTTTAATAATCTGCACCACAGTTGTGTGAGATTGGTACTAATACTGTTTCGTTTTTGTTGTTGTTTTTGTGTTTTGAGATGGAGTCTCACTCTGTTGCCAGGCTGGAGTGCAGTGGCGCCATCTCGGCTCACGGCAACAGCCTCTGCCTCCGCGGTTTAAGCAATTCTGCCTCAGCCTCCTGAGTAGCTGGGACTGCAGGCGCCTGCCACCACGTCCGGCTCATTTTTTGTATTTTTAGTAGAGACAGGGTTTCACCATGTTGGCCAGGATGGTCTCAAACTCCAGACCTCGTGATCCCCTCGCCTTGGCCTCCCAAAGTGTTGAGATTACAGGCATAAGCCACGGCGCCCGGCCTGGTACTAATACTGTTTCTACTTTAGAGATGAAACTAGGCACAGAGATTGAGGATCTTGCCATGGTCACACAGCTAGTAAATGGTAGAGTGCCTCTTAAACCCAAGCATTCTGGCTACCCAATCTGTGCTGTTAATCACTACATCAAATTGACCCTAACGAGGCACTTATTTGCAGCCAGCACTGAGCTTAATGCTTTACATATGATGATAAAATTAACAAAAGAACCAGGTTAAGAAGTATTGTTTATCTTCTGGTTTTGCAGATTTGGTCATACAGAGTCCAGACTTGAATCTTGGTGTTTCTAGAGTCCTGTCTACATTCTTAGGCACCTTGCTTTATGAAGGATTCTGACGAATCCTGCCTTTCTCACTTAATTTTCCATAAATTAACCTGTGAACCTCAGTTTTGTCATCTGCAAGTGAAGGTAATACCTATCCTCTAGTGTGGCTCTAAGGATTCAGTGATAAAAGTGCGCACAAAGTTGTCAGACATAGTACTGAATGCCAAACATTTGTTGATGGTGCTGGTGCAGATGTTAGTGTGTTGGTTTGCTTACACCCAATGAGACTGACTTATTGTTACCCTTTATTTCATGAGAAATTCTCCTTATGGGCACTGAAAGATGGCAAATCTTCTTTGGCAGCTTTAGGAATCATTAAAGAAATGATTCTTAAACAGGGAGTGGAAATTAGAGTCACTTATGGAACTTTGAAGTATATTATTTGATGCATTTATATCATTTCCGGTCTCTCTCCAGTCACTTTTCCAGACTGTTTCCAGATCTTCTTTTGCTTCTTAATGATTGTGCTTTGAGAGCAAATGATGCAAATTGAATCTGATTTTCCATTTTAGCAAATCACCTTAATAGTGACTTCTTTTTATCTCCTAGGCCTACAACCCCTGAAGGTTGGCTCATTAGGTCTGGGACACTGCCTTGAAGATATATACTTAAAAGCACTACGTGTGATTCTGATTTGTACTCTAGTAGAAAACTGCAATATAATGTACCTCCTCAAGACAGTCAGAATGCACGTGACTTATGCAGGTTAATGGCCCTGAGGAGTGTCTGCCTACCAGATCCTTAGACCAAGTGAGAGTTAAGAATCTGGGGAACTATTCAGAAGCACTAGAACTGCCCTACCTGTGGTAAAATAACTAAATAGTAATACATAGCAGGAAGTCCAAGATTATAGGATTGTATGACTGGTCATTAAACATCTCCAGTGTCAGCATTTGATTTTTTGAGATCATAATAATTCTGTGATCTTCAACATAACTAACCATTACTTTTCTGTTCTTTTATATAAATGTGGTTAGGAAGGTAAATTAAGAAAATTTTATGAGAGGAAGTTGAACTGAAAATACTGTTACTTGGCTGTAATATTTCAGGTTGAATACGGACACTAATGAAATAGAATGTAATGATAAAAGCTTTCCAATTCTTACCATTCTTATAAATTTTTATAAACTTGTTACAATACTCAAAACAGTTGTGTGGAAAAGCTATACTAGAAAACAGAGGGTGGAAAAATATTTCTGATACATTTTATCAAATTTTGGCTATTCACTTCTCCTTACCTGTCTTTCCATGTCAGGCTTCTATGCCTGGGTTGTTCCGTTATCCTAATGCGTAGCTGCCTCCTAGACCTTCTTGACTCCAAAATTCTTTTTTTTTTTTTTTTTTGAGACGGAGTCTCGCTCTGTCACCCAGGCTGGAGTGCAGTGGCACTATCTCCGCTCACTGCAAGCTCCGCCTCCCGGGTTCATGCCATTCTCCTGCCTCAGCCTCCCGAGTAGCTGGGACTACAGGCGCCCACCACCATGCCCGGCTAATTTTTTGTATTTTTGGTAGAGATGGGGTTTCACCATGTTAGCCAGGATGTTCTTGATCTCCTGACCTCGTGATCCACCCACCTCGGCCTTCCAGAGTGCTGGGATTACAAGCGTGAGCCACCACGCCCGGCCCAAAATTCTTTTATTTACCGATATGTTAACAATGTATTCATTCAGCAAGTATTTATCAAGGGGCTGTTATGTCCTCTAGGATCTTAGGATAGTATCAGTTGAACATAGAAAGTTGGTGGCTAGAAGATAACCAGTGCCCTTGTCACCATTCTGCCAAGGATCATAGCTTGTTAAATTGAGGAGCCACATATATTTATAACATATTCGTCATTTTTCTTAGATTTTAGTATCATTTTGAAATGGCCTAACACTTTATAAATAGTTGTACTTCTCCTTTATCCTAGATATAAACCACAGTACTTCAGGATCCCATTATGAAAATTCCCAGCGGGGACCTGTGTCTTCTACAAGTGATTCTAGCACAAACTGTAAGAATGCTGTTGTAAGTGACTTGTCGGAAAAAGAAGCATGGCCCTCAGCCCCTGGCAGTGATCCGGAGTTGGCTTCAGAATGTATGGATGCTGATTCTGCCTCCAGTTCTGAATCAGAGAGAAACATCACTATCATGGCTTCAGGGAACACAGGTGGTGAAAAAGATGGCCTTCGGAATAGCACTGGACTTGGTTCCCAAAACAAGTTTGTAGTTGGTAGCAGCAGCAATAATGTGGGCCATGGAAGTAGTACTGGGCCATGGGGTTTTTCCCATGGAGCCATAATAAGCACATGTCAGGTCTCTGTGGATGCTCCTGAAAGCAAATCTGAAAGTAGCAACAATAGAATGAATGCTTGGGGCACTGTAAGTTCTTCATCAAATGGAGGGTTAAATCCAAGCACTTTGAATTCAGCTAGCAACCATGGTGCCTGGCCAGTATTAGAGAACAATGGACTTGCCCTAAAAGGGCCTGTAGGGAGTGGTAGTTCTGGCATTAATATTCAGTGCAGTACTATAGGCCAGATGCCTAACAATCAGAGTATTAACTCTAAAGTGAGTGGTGGTTCTACCCATGGTACCTGGGGAAGCCTTCAGGAAACTTGTGAATCTGAAGTAAGTGGTACACAGAAGGTTTCATTCAGTGGTCAACCTCAAAATATTACCACTGAAATGACTGGACCAAATAACACTACTAACTTTATGACCTCTAGTTTACCAAACTCCGGTTCAGTGCAGAATAATGAGCTGCCTAGTAGTAACACAGGGGCCTGGCGTGTGAGCACAATGAATCATCCTCAGATGCAGGCTCCATCAGGTATGAATGGCACTTCCCTTTCTCACCTTAGCAATGGAGAGTCAAAAAGTGGAGGCTCTTATGGTACTACATGGGGTGCCTATGGTTCTAATTACTCTGGAGACAAATGTTCAGGCCCTAATGGCCAAGCTAATGGTGACACTGTGAATGCAACTCTAATGCAGCCTGGCGTAAATGGTCCTATGGGCACTAACTTTCAAGTTAACACAAACAAAGGAGGTGGTGTGTGGGAATCTGGTGCAGCAAACTCCCAGAGTACATCATGGGGAAGTGGAAATGGCGCAAATTCTGGAGGAAGTCGAAGAGGATGGGGAACCCCTGCACAAAACACTGGCACTAATTTACCCAGCGTTGAGTGGAACAAACTGCCTAGCAATCAGCATTCCAATGATAGTGCAAATGGCAATGGTAAGACGTTTACAAATGGATGGAAATCTACTGAGGAAGAGGATCAGGGTTCTGCCACATCTCAGACAAATGAGCAAAGCAGTGTGTGGGCCAAAACAGGAGGTACAGTGGAGAGCGATGGTAGTACAGAAAGCACTGGACGCCTTGAGGAAAAAGGAACTGGGGAAAGTCAGAGTAGAGACAGAAGAAAAATTGATCAGCACACATTACTCCAAAGCATTGTAAACAGAACTGACTTAGATCCACGTGTCCTGTCCAACTCTGGTTGGGGACAGACTCCTATTAAGCAGAATACTGCCTGGGATACAGAAACATCACCTAGAGGGGAACGAAAGACTGACAATGGGACAGAGGCCTGGGGAAGCTCTGCAACACAGACTTTTAACTCAGGGGCATGTATAGATAAGACTAGCCCTAATGGTAATGATACCTCATCTGTATCAGGGTGGGGCGATCCCAAACCTGCTCTGAGGTGGGGAGATTCCAAAGGCTCAAACTGCCAGGGGGGGTGGGAAGATGATTCTGCTGCTACAGGAATGGTCAAGAGCAATCAGTGGGGGAATTGCAAAGAGGAGAAGGCTGCATGGAATGACTCGCAAAAGAATAAACAGGGATGGGGTGATGGACAAAAATCAAGCCAAGGGTGGTCTGTTTCTGCCAGTGATAACTGGGGAGAAACTTCAAGGAATAACCATTGGGGTGAGGCCAATAAGAAATCCAGCTCAGGAGGTAGTGACAGTGACAGGTCCGTTTCCGGTTGGAACGAACTTGGTAAAACTAGTTCTTTCACTTGGGGAAACAACATAAATCCAAATAATTCATCAGGATGGGATGAATCTTCTAAACCTACTCCTTCCCAGGGATGGGGAGACCCTCCAAAGTCTAATCAGTCTCTAGGTTGGGGAGATTCGTCAAAGCCAGTCAGCTCTCCAGACTGGAACAAGCAACAAGACATTGTTGGATCTTGGGGAATCCCACCAGCTACAGGCAAACCTCCTGGTACAGGCTGGCTGGGGGGACCTATACCAGCCCCAGCAAAAGAAGAAGAACCCACAGGCTGGGAGGAACCATCCCCAGAATCTATACGTCGCAAAATGGAGATTGATGATGGAACTTCAGCTTGGGGAGATCCAAGCAAATACAACTACAAAAATGTGAACATGTGGAACAAAAACGTCCCAAATGGCAACAGCCGTTCAGACCAGCAAGCACAGGTACATCAGCTGCTAACGCCTGCAAGTGCCATCTCAAACAAAGAGGCAAGCAGTGGCTCTGGTAAGTTTCTATTTTATGAAATCAAGCCTTGTTTTAACTTACTGTTATTATAAGATTTGTATAACAAAGTACTTGGATATGCACACAAAGGCTGTTCTTACTGTAATCCAGAAGCAGCTTGAAAAAAATTATAGGGGTGATGTTTACCACCAGAGAACAGAACTCCACTTTTGGCAGTGTTGTTTGAGTCCTGCACACTTCATTCTCTATTAGAAATGCAAGAGAAGGCGAATTGGACAAAGGCGGTCAAGTGGGAATGCTGTACACTTCTCCAAGTTGTTTTTGAGTTAGGCCTTAACTTGTGGTTTTATTATTTGACTAAAATATCTCCAGAAATAAAACAAGTATCTCATAAATACAGTACTCTCTAAACATTAGGTTGTATATTTGGCTTTAGAAGGGATTTTTTTTTTTAAGTAGGTGAGAAATCCAACTCTACTTAGATACAGTATATATGTTTGTGTATTTAAAACATTTGACAATACCTTTCTAGTATATCCTTACTTTCCTCTCTAATAATGAACTAATTCCTATCTCTGCAAATTTTCCCAACAACATTTTTGTTAAGTGTGATTGGCTACATTGTCTTTGTTAATAAAAGTTTTATTGACTTAATAGTCTCATTGGAAGTGGATATGGGAGTGCTTTCATGAGCTAACTTTTTGGCACTGAATTTTTTTTTTTTAGTCTAAGTATAGTTTGTTGTATTAATTTAGGTTTGATTCTTAAAAGGAAGAAGTATGTATCTAAGATGAAGCCTGTTGGCTTTGATTTTTTTTAATGAAACATTTATGGCTTTTTTTTTTTTTTTTTTTTTTTTTGCTTTGGACAACCTCAGCCTAATACTTCAGATTTTAAAATAAGCATTGTTCAGCATATGTAAAAAGTAGGTGACCCATTATTGTTAGCTGGGTAGTAAATTGTTTTTCCAGTGTAGGTGGTGTGGAAGGGGTACACTTGTGGCACAATTTTTTTTTTTTTTTTTTTTGGAGATGGAGGCTTTCTCCGTCACCCAGGCTGAAGTGCAGTGGCATGATCTCGGTTCACTGCAGCCTCCACCTCCCAGGTTCAAGCAATTCTCCTGTCTCAGCCTCCTGAGTAGCTGGGACTACAGGTGTGTGCCACCACGCCCAGCTAATCTTTGTATTTTTAGTAGAGACCAGGTTTTGCCATGTTGCCCAGGCTGGTCTCAAAATCCTGACCTCAGGTGATCCACCTGCCTCAGCCTCCCAAAGTGCTGGGATTACAGGCATCAGCCACTGTACCCAGCTGGTACAGATGTTATACATACACTGTCACCCAGCTTATCACCTGCTCCAATTTACAAGGTTTGGTTTAGAATGACTTGACTTTTTCAGGAATTAAACTGATGCTCAAAGGAGAGTGGTTTTCCATAACTATGCAAAAATCAGCTCTAGGTCTAGAGGGTAATTATGAAAAAAGTTAAAAAAATTCTCACCTTATATTAATGGGAAATAGTTTGTCTTTTTTTAACATAAAACAGATGCCATCTTTTTGCCTATCACAGTATCATTATTCAGTACATAAACATGAAGTTCTTCATCCTTGGTCCCTAAGTTTTCTTTATTGTCCCTTATTCCACTGCACCTCCTTACCTTCTATGCTGATGACTTCTTTTCCCACACTTTCTAAAGGCTGGGGTGAGCCCTGGGGGGAGCCTTCTACTCCAGCCACAACTGTGGATAATGGTACTTCAGCATGGGGTAAGCCCATAGACAGTGGTCCCAGCTGGGGGGAACCCATTGCTGCGGCATCCAGCACATCCACGTGGGGCTCCAGCTCTGTTGGTCCACAAGCATTAAGCAAATCTGGTAAGTTATTGACAATGCCTGGTAGCTGTTATGTAGCAGTGGCGAACACTCACTGACTATAATTAAATAATTAGATAAGGTTTCTATGTTATTTATAATATATTCATATAATGTAACATGATAGATGATGTTCAGTATTTTGCTCTTTGATTTTGTAACGTGGTTTATTCTCTTTCTGAATTTTCCTCTTTTCTCATATTTCTTAGAACTGTAACTATTCATTTGCATATACTTCATCAAATCTAAATTATATTTTACCAAATTAGGTTATCTAGGAAGAGTCTACTAGCAACTTTCATGCCATCCAGCCTGAGAGGCCAACTAGTGTAGCCATGAGGACACATATTCAGACTGTCAGATGATTCCCTGAAAGTTACAATTAGCATAGTTCAGAAAAGACCCAAGATTGAAATTAACATTGTCATTATCCCATAGGCTGTGTACAAGATGCCCGGTAGGAATCCCAAGGGCCATGTGTGAAGATAAGATGCTTTCTGCTTAAGGCTTTGAATACTCTCTGGCCATTCTCCCTAAAAATATATATAAAAATTAATTCTTTCAAATTTCATTCATCTTCTTTGTCCTGTGCATCACTATGCAGATTATTAAGTGGGTACAAACAAGAGTGCTACCATTGTCCATGTTCAAGAACTATGATTTGTTAAAGGCATGGAGGAGTTTTATTAAATTTTTAAATAAGAATATATTATTTTTCATGGAAGGTTTAGCTCAGTATAAAACATACTTTCCTTCTGTGCAGATGCAGGAAGGGAAATAAGTGTGCACGTGTGTGTTTTCTTAGGTTCTCTACCCAATTTTTAATATATACTTATTCTCCAGAAGGAATTCTTTTATTAAAGTATGTTTCTCTTTATATCACAAATCCACAATCAGGGCCAAAATCTATGCAAGATGGCTGGTGTGGTGATGATATGCCATTGCCTGGAAATCGCCCCACTGGCTGGGAAGAGGAAGAGGATGTGGAGATTGGAATGTGGAATAGTAATTCATCTCAAGAGCTTAACTCATCTTTAAATTGGCCACCATATACAAAGAAAATGTCATCGAAGGTAAACATTTCAAGGGCAAAGCCCTTGAAACTTTAAATTCCAAAGGTAGTTTACCCACAGAAAATTAACTTTTCGCCTGCCCATTTCTGGCGGTCAGTACAGTCCAGGCAGCCCCCACCTTAGGTATAGCCACTTGTATGGGCAGCCACCTAGAGAAACATAAGAAAGACCACAGGAACTTCCTTTCTCCCCACTGCTACAGCTTGGGATTTCTCTCTTCCTCCCCCTCCACCAGTGCTGCCTGGGACAACCCCTCATCCTAGGGTGGTGCCTGCAGTGGTGAGGATGAAGAGGAGGGCAAATCTCCATGTTGACTCTTTCCATCCCACTGCCAGTTCATCTCCCATTTCATTTCCTCACCTGGAGTCCCCCGCCACCCGCTTACCCAGAGTCACCATCCTCCTTATTCACCTGTCATGTTTGTCCCTATCCCATCCCAAAAGGTCCTGTGACAAAAATCCCTAGGAATGATCTGAGCTTGGTTTTGCTTTTATGTGTGGACAAATCATATTCCTAAAGCTGGCTGTACATCGAAATCCCATGGCATTTGTTAAAAATGCAGCTTCCTGTACCTCAGGTCTACTGAAGTTTTGGAAATTGGACCAAGTTTCTTATCCTAAAGAAACTCCTCAAATGTCTCTGATGCAGAGCCAGGTTTGGGAAGCACTGATTTAGAGCACTGGTTCTTAAGAGGTGGCACTGGGGGCTGCTGTCAGATCCTCCTGGGGACCATTTTCAAAATATGTGCCCAGTCCCCCAGGTGGTTCTAACATAACATCCTAACCCACCCTACTTGAGAATGATTACCTTTTGAGGGACCTTAGAAGTCAGATACCAGTGGATAGCTGGACTAGGTAACTGCCAAGGTTCCTCACTTTTAATCCTGGGATTCTAAGTCTAGGACCTGCCATTTTCATTTTTAAAATTTTTCATTTGGCTGAATTTGCCTATTGCCTTGCCATATAGCTTATGAAGTGCTTTTACATGTTTTACATAAGTCATTTGATCCTCACAACCATCTAAGATAGGACACTGATGAATTTGAGACTGGAAAAGGTGGTGACTTGCCCAAAGTTGCGATAACTAGTAAGCGACAGAGTAAGGACTTAAGTTTAGGTCTTCCAGTTCCAAACCCCATGTTCTTCCCACTGGACCATGCTGTTTTGTGACTTTGTCTTTCCTTACAGGGTCTGAGTGGCAAAAAAAGGAGAAGGGAAAGGGTGTGTAGCCTTTTTACTCTTTCTCCTTTGTTTCTACTAGTAAAAATCTTTAGAAAGCAACTGCAAACATTTATTTAGCCTCTGCTGTGTGCCAGGTACTGTGCTTGGTGCTGGGGATTCAAATACACTAAGATATGAGTTTCACCTTTCGGGAGCTCACAGTCTAGTATGGGGCATTAGGAGAGCTTCATAGAAGTGTCAGCTTGAATTTGGAAGATGCTTGGGATGGGATGTGTTAAGGAAGATAGTAGCCCAACATAACCAAAATGTAGAATTTTTAGGAAGAAGTGACAAGAGATCTGGCTCTGTAGTTGAGGCAGATTGTAGTGTCTTCAGTAGCATGCCAAGGAATTTGAACTTTATTTTGTGTAAAATATGGAACCAACGAAATTGAGTAGAAAACAACATCAGTGGGGTTTTTAAATTACTAATTTTAAAAGAAAGCTAATCAGTGATAGTATGAAATATAAATTGGTGCAGAGGGGAGACCACAGTTAGGGATCTCAGGGAGCATCTGCGTTAATTCAAGCTAGAAAGGACAGCTTGAGTTGGGAAATAAGAATGGATATATAGTGGAAGGGACTAATTTGAGAGGCATTTCAGTCAGAATAGAAAGGACAGAAGAACTTGGCAACTAGTTAGGTATGGGGATGGATGGGGTGAAAGGAAAAGGGATCAAAGCCAACTTCAGAATCTGCGGAGAGAGTTAGATGCTTGCTTCAGAGACCTGCATTTGGGGGGAAGTTGTGAAGCTGTGTTCTGTTCCACAGTCAGAAGGAATGGACAGTAGCAATGGGAAGGGGTAATGAAGTAATGAAGGCAACAGACTGAGAATGGTCCAGTGAGACCATAATGAGAGACATAGATCTCTATGGCTTCCAGCCTCCTTGTCTACCAGACTGCTGATCACAGACCCTCCATCCTCTTAACTCATGTCTCAATGGAGTTTGCGTACCACCCATACCCCAACCAGCCGCAGAGAGCCAGCCCTAAGCAGGAGGAATCCCAGGTTCAACTTCTGCTAGAGATGTTGTGTTCTTGGCAACACAAATTGAAATTTTAAAATACTTTTTCATGTGGAAAACACATGGTGTTTTTTCAGTAGGATGCATATAGCATAATTAAATTAGGGGTTAAGTTGGCTTCTTTGGACTAACCTTAGAACCTAGTCACTATTTTTTTACTTTGGTTTGGAGTGAGAATTCCAGAAATCTAAATTATAACTAATCTTACAGTTCTCCGTTACTCAGAGGCCCTGTTTTCATATTTGTGGGTCATCGAGGCCTTTTGCTTCCGTCTTTTCCTTCTGACTGCTTGCCTTTAGAGATTTCTCTGTACATTACAGCTATACCAGAGGACTGGAGCAAAGGAAGTTGAAAATCAAATAAGTTGATTTTTAATTATTAACAACTCTGATAAGAGTTGATTGGAGGAGAAATTATTGGCTAAAAATGAGAATTGGGGATTGTCTTAAGTTTTATTAATCCGTCACTATACCCAGATAAACAGAGATGGCCATGGCATCTTTTCTACTCTTTTATTTTACAAAGGGAATGATGAAAGGTGGAAACAAACAAGAAGAAGCGTGGATAAATCCATTTGTTAAACAGTTTTCAAACATCAGTTTTTCGGTAAGTATGTTTTCTTAGCAGCTCCTTCCTCTTTTAATGGTGGTCCATGATTTATCTTGATTTCACTCTTTTTAAGAATTATTTTTCATCTTCGAGTCCTTAGGAATGTACTTGATGTTAGAGTAAAATCGGCCTCCAAACCTTCATTTTTATGGTTTTAGCTAAAAACTTCAATCACATGTCTTATTTTAAAACATTTTAAAAATTACATTAGGCAGTGAAAAATGAAGCTTTATGATCCACTTGAATTTCACAGATAATGAAACACAGTAAAATTCTTCATTTTTTATTTGTTTTCATTGATAAATTAAGGTCTGCTAACATGCTGCATTTTCTTTCTTCAGAGAGACTCACCAGAGGAAAATGTACAAAGCAATAAGATGGACCTTTCTGGAGGTAAGAGAAAATTAAATCTGTTTATATTCCTCATTGAGGGACACGCACATCCATGACATGATTCTACTGAAAGAGCCCTGACGTAGATCAGGACAGGGGAGGCTGTGCTCTCCAATAGACGTACACATGCTGTGGTTAAATGAGTGCATGTGCCTTGAAAGTGCAGGACCACTGTGCAGATCAGTGGTGATATTAGTCTGATTACTTTACACATAATCCTGCCAAGAGGGAGTTACTCAGATTGGAGGGTATAGTCTTCTTGATTAGGGAACAGCACGTAGAAGGGCCTAGATGTATGACAGACTCTTAAAACTATACTGGAGGAATGGCAAGTCATTCCATAGAATGAGTCAAGAAAAACAGTTTTGGTGGGGGCAGCCGTGGTGGTGGTAGTGAAAGATCACCTGGATAAAGATGCTAGAAAACAAGGTCGGTGCTGAGTCATGAAGAGCTTGGGAATTTGAACTTTATTCTTAAAATATGGGATTAAAGTGAAGCAAGGGAATGACATGGTTTGGATTTATGTTTTAGAAAAATCATCTTGATTATAGATTGAAAATAGGATAGAAAACATTGGCAGCAGGAGATAGAGAAAAGACACTGAAGATAGCAAAACCAGTAGATAGTTGTTGCAGTAGCCAGTAATTATTTCAAAGCTCCAAACCAAGACAGTAGATGGAAATAATCTAATTCCATGGAGACATAGGACTTGGAATCAACAAAAATTGATAACCAGTTTGAACCAATTTGTTAGGCAGGATGAGGGAGAGAGTGTGATGGAAACTTACCTGGACAGTTTAGTAGATGGTATTGTGTTAATCCGAGTCCAGTCAGGAGAAACTACGCAGTAATTTGCTAACAGGAAAAATGTAGTATACAAGACTTTAACAAGGAATTGGAGTAGCAGTAGCAGATACAAGGGGAAGTAACTCAGTGAGGACTGACATAGCATGCCCAAGAAAGAACCCCCTTCCTCTCACTATGGTGCCATGCCAGTAGGAGTGCAGGAAATCCACCCTCTAAGATACCAGTGAAGGCAGGGCACAGGAGAGGTGTCTCATGGGAGGCACTCGCTACGGAGCTACCAGAGGGCATGCTGGTAGATGCTGCCAACCACTGGCGAGGTGAGCATTGTAGGTGCCTTGTTGCTGGCAAAGCTGCTGTGCTGCAGGAGACAGCAGACCAGAACTAAGAAACCAAACCTCTCCTCTTGCACCTTCTATTTACAAAATGTCAGTGCTAGCTGGCGAAGGAAAAAAACCTATAAAGGGCCTAAGTCCATTTTTTTTCACAGAGCAATCCAAAAGGGTAAAATTGGAGCTAGAGGAAATAAGTCAGTCATCCGCACAGATCATCCCAACCCTTTGACTACTCACCTTCCATATGTACTCTTCTGCACGCATTTGTCCGGTACAATGGCAACGCAACTCTGTATTTCTGCTTAACAAGATACAGCTTTCTTTCTTGCAAGTGAAGAAGTGTTCATCCTCTCTCTAAACTGAGGAGATGAACAGCCCCAAGGGTCATTGTATTCATCACTGGCTATATAATCACCCCAGAAATTCAGTCACAGTTTGTTACCTAAAGACTGAATTATAAAACCTAACATGTAATAACTTGTGAATAAGGTAAAAACAGGAAAAAAAATGCTTGGCCTATACAAATTAACACATCCATATGAGAAACAATAGAAAATATGCAAATCTACTACCATTGTTATTTCTGTAATTGCTCGTAAGCCATCATTGGTATCTGTGCCTTCCTCCCTTCACTGCCTATTCTGTACTTAACTCACTTTCAGGTTGAACCTCAGCTGCTCTTGGTTCTTTAGCTGGTGGAGTTAAGTAACCCAAACCTTCATTCACAAAGGATCTGAGCCCCCAGTTGTCCTTGCCTTTTATGGTTGCCATTGTTTTTCATTGGCCTTCACTACTGGGTATGGAAATACTAAGAAGCATCCCAGAGAATCCCCTGGGTTCCCGACAGTCTTCACTGCCTTCATTTCGTAATCACATCAGTTACCCCAGCCAGTAGACTAGTTTTGTTTGTTTGTTTGTTTGTTTGCCTGCTAGTTCATACCTCAAGGAGTGCAAAATGTCCCTGTAGCAGTCTTCATCTTCCAGGGCAGTGGAGCCATTGTTGCGGTTTTTGTTGGAAGCGTTTTCTCTCTCAAGGACTAAATTCTCTAAATCAGCAGTTGTCAGAACAGAAAGTGAGTGTTCTGTAAGTGGCTCATTAGGTATAATTGTGAGAGAAGCCGCTCGCACTTTCACCTTTTGATTCTCACAACTTACAAATTCTAGTAATTGGAGAGACACATACCGCATCCTCCTACGACAGATGCCCACCTTTTTAGGATGTTGTCTCCCAACTTGCTTTGTAACTGATTCTTTAGTAAGCCTATTAATTTGGTTAGCTACTTTCAGGCAATGGCATATATGGTAAGACCAGTTAATTCCATGGGCATGAACACAGTCCTGTATTTCCTCTGCTGTGACATGAGCTCCTCAGTAAGACATGATGGCTGTGAAGAGTGCCGATAGTGGAGAAGGCATCCTGTGAGGCTGTGGATAACAGAAGCTTTACAGGCAACAAAAATCTGTGTCCAGAATGTGAACCTTTTCCTGTTAGGACAAGTTTCTGCCTCCTTCATGGCTCACTGAATGGCACGGAAGTTGCTATGATGTCGTGCTGGTGGAACCTGTGGGAAATCTGCCCTCTAGAGTCCTGGGAAAAGGCATTCATGGAGAGGTATCTCACCGGAGACACTGCAGCACAACTGTGATGTAAGAGGGAGGGGAATGCTGGGAGAAGCTCCCACAGAGTGCTGCTGACCCACCAGGCAATGGAGAAGCTGCAAGGGCTGCCCATGCCTACCAAGTCCACATGCTGGCCCAGGAAGCAACACCCTTCCTCTTGCCCTGTCTCTCGAGCTCCCTCTTCTGACAAAGCCTCAGTACCAGCTGGCTAAGGAAAAAATGTAAAGAGTCCAGATATATTTTCATAGAGCAGTCAAAAAGGGTGAATTTGGAGCTGAGAGACAATAAATCAATAAATGGTCATTATTTGAGTTAAGAAATACAGGAATAGCAGGCTTGATAGATACTGCGTTTGAAGGTGCTCTGAAAACCACCTGGTCCAGTAAACAGTCGAAAATCTGGATGTGAAGCTCAGAATAGATGGGGCTGGTGATATGAAGTGTAATTAATTAGATGTGGATGATAGTGTAAGCTATAGGAATAGTTTGACTAGAGAGAGTTGGAGGATAATGGACCGAAGACAGTCCTGGGGAATAATGGCATTTAGGGGAGTGATCCTAAGCAGAAGTGGGACAAGTTAGAGTAGAATAATTTTTCAGACGCCAAGTGAGTACAGAGTTTTGAAAAGAAAAAACTGATTGTCAGGGAATGGATTTGACAGTGGGGCTCAGGGGTAGTCATTGGTAACTAATGGACCTTACTGGAGGACTGGTGGACTGAGGGGAGATTGCCACATTTGAGTTTCTTTTTAAAGGGATGCAGAAGTGTTGGAGAATGGTTTGTGGAAAAAATGTAACATGCTACTCTCTTTTTTTTTTTTTTTTTTGAGTTGGAGTCTCACTGAGGCTGGAGTGCAGTGGCGCAATCTCGGCTCACTGCAACCTCTGCCTCCCAGGTTCAAGCGATTCTCCTGCCTCCACGCCCAGCTAATTTTTTGTATTTTTAGTAGAGACAGGGTTTCACCGTGTTGGCCAAACTGGTCGCAAACTCCTGCCTGCCTCGGCCTCCCAAAGCGCTGAGATTACAAGTGTTAGCCACCGTGCTCAGCTGCTACTACTCTTTCAAAAGGTATTTGCATAGGCAAAAATAATGTGAATTATCAAGAAGGAACAGCTTGGAGAGAGAGTTAGGAGAACTGGTTGGAATTGGTTACAGGATTAGATGAAGAGAGTGGGGGAAAGAGTTCACAATGGCTAGCTTAGTTGTTATCAGTGAATTATGACATCTTAACAGGGAGAGAGAACAGAGGAGGGAGCTGTGGTAAGGATTATTGACATTCAAGAGAGGGCTCTTAAACAACTGTGAAAGGTGGATTTTTTAAATACCAGATTCATGACTGGAACAGTACTTCTTAGCTACTTTAAGAATTGTTTTCCTTTTCCACTTACCTGGAATGAGAGTAGTAAAGGTAAGTATTATGGTGGTGGCAGACATCTCAAAGAACAGCAGTTGCAAAGAAATGATGGATGAGATTTGAGGATTGAGAAAACGTCAAGAATGAGGAATAGGGAGATGAAAACCTGTGTTAACAGTGACAATGAGGCCGGGCACAGTGGCTCATGACTGTGATCCCAGCACTTCAGGAGGCCGAGGTGGACAGATGACTTGAGGTCAGGAGTTGGAGACCGCTTGGGCAACATGGTGAAGCCTTGTCTCTACAAAAAAATGCAAAAATTAGCTGGGGGTGGTGGTACATACCTCTGGGCCCAGCTACTCAGGAAGCTGAGGTGAGAGGATTGCTTGGGCCGGGGAGGCACAGGCTGCAGTGAGCCAAGATTGTGCCACTACGCTCCAGCCTGGGCAGCAGAGCCAGACACTGTCTCAAAAAAAAGTGACAATGGGACATCGAAATGGATGTGCTTTAGCAGGCAGGTAAAAATGTGGGACTGAGCTCAGTTGTGAAGTCTAAGCAACATGTTTATATTTGGGCATCACTTGAATGGGAGTGACTGCTGATACCCTGATAGTGAATGAAGTCTAAGGAAAGCAAGTTTACAGAGAGAGTCAAAAGACTGAGACCCTGAGTCTACTTTGTCAGCCGCAGAGTATCCCAGCATTGAAGAAGCACCCGAGGTGAGCTCAGCATGGGTAGAGGAAGAGAAACCAGAATGGACAGATGGTGAGGAGGGGTGGTAGAGAGCATTGTCCACTTTTAAAAGATTTGTTGAAATAGAGCAGTAGCTTTTGGGCCGGAGCTGGCTATATCCAGCAAAGATTTTGCAGGAAAAAAGTTTCCAGGAGAGAAGATCATTTTTTATTGCAGAGCAGTCAGAATGAGGAGAGGAGCAGACAGAGCAAAGCCTAAGAGAGGGGAAGATGTTACCCTGTCTGGTGTCCAGTTTCCTCATCTGCTAAAAGGGCGATAACAGTAGAGTTACAAACATTAAATTAGTACACATAAAGCATTCATAGGCCAGGTGCGGTGGCTCACGTCTGTAAATCCAGCACTTTGGGAGGCCAAGGCAGGCAGATCACCTGAGGTCAGGAGTTTGAGACCAGCCTGGCCAACATGGGGAAACCCTGTCTCTACTGAAAATAAAAAAATTAGCTGGGTGTGGTGGTGGGTGCCTGTAATCCCAGCTGCTCAGGAGGCTGAGGCAGGAGGATTGCTTGAACCCGGGAGGCAGAGGTTCCAGTGAGCCAAGATCACACCACTGCACTCTAGCCTGGGCTACAGAGTGAGACCCCTTCTCAAAAAAAAAAAGAAAAGAAAAAGCACTTATAATGGCGACTGACATAAACCAGGCATTTATTAAATGGTGGTTTATCACAGTGGGTGTTGATTGTTTTTATTACTTGTTAATGGAAACTTACCTGTATTATAAAACTCAGCAGATTAGAGATGGCTAAAGGTGCCTTAAGTTATGTAACCTAAGAGTCCTTTTAAAACGAGGCCGGGCCTGGTGGCTCATACCTGTAATCCTAGCACATTGGGAGGCCGAAGCGGCCGGATCACTTGAGGTCAGGAGTTCAAGACCAGCCGGGCCAACATGGAGAAACCTACATCTCTACTAATAATACAAAAAATAGTCAGGTGTAGTGGTACACTCCTGTAATCCCAGCTACTCGAGAGGCTGAGGCATGAGAATTGCTTGAATCTAGGAGGTGGAGGTTGCAGTGAGCCGAGATCCCACCACTGCACTCCAGCCTGGGCCACAAAGCGAGACTGTCTAAAATAAAAAAGAAAAAAAAAGTGAGGTTATCAGCCAGCCACCTTCTGTTTACTAGTCTATTTCAAGTTAATTATTTCAGTAAAATAACAGTATCTCCTAATTGCGACTTCATTTGTGAGGAATGCAAAATTTATGAAATGGAAGTGTATTTTTCACATACCCTTGTCTTGGCTGAAGTCATTTCAGTTTGGAAAGTGAGTGTTTTGCTTTTGTTGTAAATTTATCTGAAACCAATTGGGTTGTCTTCCTGTTTGATAACAGTCTCCTGCCTTTATTAGGAATGTTACAAGACAAACGAATGGAGATAGATAAACATAGCCTAAATATTGGTGATTACAATCGAACGGTCGGGAAAGGCCCTGGTTCTCGGCCTCAGATTTCCAAAGAGTCTTCCATGGAGCGCAATCCTTATTTTGATAAGGTAAGGTTTTTTACTTTTACCTCTGACTTGATAAACCAGTATACTTCATAGCGTAATTTTCACACTAATATTTTAAAACCTTTTATATAATATAAAGTGTTACAATCCACTACCAAATCTTATTACTGGATTTTGAAGTTCACTGTCTTTTTATGTCTCAATTTATCATAGAGGTTGCATTTATATTTTTCTTCTTAATCCCATGAAATATGTTTGGCTCTTTTTGTGTGCTCTAGAATTAACACTAATCCGATCTCTTCTGTTTTCTACCTGTTTCCTGTTGATGCTGGAATGTCATGTGACTTCTCTTCTGTTCCTGCAATGATTTCTCCCTTCCACTTGTTTGCTTGGCTGGTGTTGCACATCTTTCTGTCTGTCCAATCAGGATGGCATTGTAGCAGATGAATCCCAAAACATGCAGTTTATGTCCAGTCAAAGCATGAAGCTTCCCCCTTCAAATAGTGCACTACCTAACCAGGCCCTTGGCTCCATAGCAGGGCTGGGTATGCAAAACTTGAATTCTGTTAGACAGGTAAGTCCAGATGTGTATTTTAGGCTCTCAGTTGAATGATTTGTATTAGTAATAAGATCTCTCTTACATGTAGTTACTGTGTTTAAATCATAGTACAGTGTGGTAATGAGATGTTTGTCCCTAAAGAATCCCACTGTTACTTGTTGCTGTTTGTTTTTATAGAATGGCAATCCCAGTATGTTTGGTGTTGGAAACACAGCAGCACAACCCCGGGGCATGCAGCAGCCTCCAGCACAACCTCTTAGTTCATCTCAGCCTAATCTCCGTGCTCAAGTGCCTCCTCCATTACTCTCCCCTCAGGTAAATAAGCTTTCCTTACATTCTCCTGTTTACCTGCAAAAAGGATCTTGCATGATTTTGTATTTGAATAAAATGGCTAACTAAGCATTATCATATTTATTGGCATCTTTGAGATTCAGCTAGTTTTGAATTAACTATTAAAAAAGGTTGTAGTAAGGAAAAGTCAAGGATAATTTAAATCCAAAATTTACCATTTTCTTCTTTAAAACATTCTTGAGAGTAGGACAAAAGCAAAGTAAAATTGACTAGTTTAAGATGCACCTCTGTCATCTTTTACTTAACCCACGAAAAAGTGTAAGTGAGTGGTCAGTTAGTAAGACAGAGACAAAGACTATAACCCCCAATGAATAGTCCACAAATTTAACTGCTCTATTGACAACTGAAAACACACAGTACGTGTAGTTAGTGTGAGTTATTTTATCAAGATCATTAACTTACCATTGTGATCCTAAGGTTCCAGTTTCATTGCTGAAGTATGCACCAAACAACGGTGGCCTGAATCCACTCTTTGGCCCTCAACAGGTAGCCATGCTGAACCAGCTATCCCAGCTAAACCAGCTTTCTCAGATCTCCCAGTTACAGGTAAGCAGAGTCATAGTCTTTCTTAGTACACATTTATGGAGCATCTACTGTATGCCAAACACTAGACTCTGTGCGGGACATAGTGCACTAAACAAAACAGGCGTAGTCATAGTCCTCATGGAGCTTACAGTCTATCGGGGGAGACAGATCGTGAACATTTGTGAAGAATGTCTTGAAGAAGTGCAGAATGCTGTGAGAGGAAACCTCAGCCAAGTCCAGGGTGCTAGTGTTAGTAGGATGATTAGGAAAAGTTTCTCTGTTGAAGTGAAAGTTTAGATTGAACTAAAGACTGAATTTCAGCAGTGACTAGAAACCAGAGAGTCCAAGGAAGAGATGGTACTAGATAATGCTAGACATGTTGGCATTGGCTAGATCACGTCGTGCCTCTGTAGGTCCATCTGCTGTCGTCATTTGGAAGCACACACTTTGTAATGGTGTGATAGTAACAACCTTTTCGCTATCTTTCCTCTAGCGATTGTTAGCGCAGCAGCAAAGGGCGCAGAGTCAGAGAAGCGTGCCTTCTGGGAACCGGCCGCAGCAAGACCAGCAGGTAGAGCCCGCCCTGCAACTCGCAATGCTGTCTTTGTGTTAATAAACTCTGCTTATCTCCATTGTAGCAAGAGATTCAGAAATGTCTTTCTTAAAACAATCTTACTAAGATGTAATGCAGTATGTTTTTCATTAAGTCTGCTGGTTGCCCATGAGTTATGTGAACATTATACAGTGATTATTCACCTTTCTGCTGAGACGAAAGTGAATTCAAAAATGGAGAGGAATATGTAGTTTTCTGTAAAGACGTTTTCCCCCAGTAATTTTTTCCAATCATTTCATTGTTTTAAGGGTCGACCTCTTAGTGTGCAGCAGCAAATGATGCAACAATCTCGTCAACTTGATCCAAACCTGTTGGTGAAGCAGCAGACTCCACCATCTCAGCAGCAGCCACTCCATCAGCCAGCCATGAAGTCTTTCCTTGACAATGTCATGCCCCACACTACACCTGAGCTGCAAAAAGGGCCATCACCAATAAATGCTTTCAGCAACTTCCCTATAGGTGGGTTTCTCCTTGGCCCAAGTATTGGACTGATGCTTAGGTATCACAGGCGTGCCTCCTTCACACGTACCCTTACAGCTCTGTTCCTTCATGAAAGCTACATTGATCTCTTAGCTGTTCCCTCTCAGAGAGTTGCCATCCCCTCTCCTAGTTTTAACCTGCTCCACATTCAGGGAAGGTCTCTCTCCTCAAGAAAATCACGATTTTTCTTTTCTTTCCTTTTCTTTTTTTTTTTTTTTAGGACAGAGTCTTGCTCTGTCACCCAGGGTGGAGTGCAGTGGTGAGATCTTGGCTCACTGCAACCTCTGCCTCCCGGGTTCAAGCGATTCTCGCACCTCAGCTTCCCGAGTAGCTGGGATTACAGGCGCGCACCACCACGCCCAGCTAATCTTTGTATTTTAATAGATTTGGGGTTTCACCATGTTGGCCGGGTGGGTCTGGAACTCCTGACCTCAGGTGATCTGCCTGCCTTGGCCTCCCAAAGTGTTGGGATTACAGGCATGAGCCACCATGCCCAGCCTTCAAAATCACACTATTTCAAAAACTCCACACTCGTTTAAAGTGCATTAGAATAAAGGAAACATTTCACTTTTTAAAGGACTAGCTGTCTTAATCTTAAGTAGGATATTAAGGGTGGGAAGGAAGGCTGATGTTCTTATTAGAAACAGTACACCAGAGAATTTTTGAGCAGTGCTGTTTTGGTGAAACAGCTGGGGATGGTCACAGTCACATTTGCTAGCTCTCAGAACTTGAAGTTTTAACTACTGTCTAACTATGTATAAATGATTACTGATATAAATTTAAAAATGGAGGTAAGAAAGGAGATTGCCTTTCTTATACATGCAACTCCCCACCCCCACCCACTCTTTTTTCTCTGTTATCTCCAGGCTTTTATTCACTGGGTAGAGATTTTGAGCTTATATGTTGTTTCTTTCCTAGGTCTCTTTTTTTCTTGTGCCCTTGATTATATTTTAACCATTGATTGTTCATGCCCTGTTTATTTTGCTTTTTTTCTCTCTCTTTTCCTATACAGTGGTTTCTTGTAAACCAGCTTTGCTGGTTGTTAGCCAGAGTGTTTGAAGACCATCAGTTAACTAGTTGTTCTGGGCTGTGGGCAGAGGCTGGGGCATGCTGTTGCCCCTGCTGCTGCCTCACTCTGTGACTGAACTGGTTTGGCTCAGCCTGGTATTACCACAGACTCTCACCTGGGACATAAATTGTACTTTGAGTCCTTAGGATTGTTAGTGATCTCTGCATTTCCAAAAACAGTTCCCTTGTCAGTTACTACTGTGGGTGAATACTGAAGAAGCCATTTAGTGGTGGCCAGGTGATGTCAGAGACAACAGTTAGTAGTAAAAGAATGATACCCAAGTACAGGGAGAAGTTTTTGTCTCATCAGTGAAGGGAGCTGGCTCTTCCTATTTGACTGCACACTTGACATATAAATTGGCCACATAAGTTCTAAGCATAGGATTTCCTGCCCTGGCCAGCTTCTCAGTGAGGGATACTTCTTGATTAAGAAAGTCTGCTTAGCCCATGCAAATACCAATACAGTTATCTAAGTTCGGCAACAGGCTATGGCCTGTTGGCCAAATTTGGCCCACTGCCTGCTGTTGTAAGGTTTTGTTGGACACAGCCACATTTTCTCTAACCTGGGGTCTGTGGCTGCTTTCGTGCTGCACCAGCAGAGTTGCATGGAGACACCGGGACCATGTGGCCCACAGAGCCTGAGATACCGGCTGAACCTCTGCAGAAAAAAATTGTCAACTCCTGATCCGATTGATGGGTCCAAGAGTAGCAAATTTAATTGCTCTCTGCAAAAATACGCATGGTATTAGAGAATTTGTATTATTAAAGTTTTCAGGTTTGACAGACCTTAACATCACATGGACTCATCAGACCAGAGAATTTAAAACAATTTAATTTGGAACTTTAGAATAAGAACCTCTTGGGAATTGTGAAACAAAGATTCTGGCTCCCACTGGAAAGTCTTCATTTTTAAACAAGCGTTTTAGGTGATTCTAATATTAATAGTCCCTAGATTACTCTTTTAAGAAAAACTAGCTTAATAGTTTTCTGACCACTGTATCTAAGGTTGAAATTTCCATTCTTGTTCCAAGAGAATATCCAAGTCTGAGGGGCCTCATCAGCAAAGGTCAAGTAAATTGTGCCTTAAGATATATCTGTCCCCAGCCTAGGTGTAATTGCTAGTACAGGACATTTTTACTTTAGAATTTGCAAGCAAAAGATAGCAACTGAAAGTGACCACAGATCTTCATGCATAGGTACACTTGGGAAATAGCTAAACAGATACATTTTATTCCAAGTAAACTTATACATCTGGCTTCCTTAAAACTTTTCTCCCTCTTATTTTGCCAAGGAGTTTTAAATAAATCATCAAAATTTTATGGAGAAATATTTTCTACGTATAACTAAATTATAGTATTAACAGTTATGTGGTTTGAAAACATTAGTTACATGTTTTTCTAGGAAATAGAAGTTGTGCTACTAGAAAGAAAATGTGCTGTATTTTCTAAGGTTTTGTTTTGTTTTTTAATTTTTCAGGCTTGAACTCAAACTTGAATGTAAATATGGATATGAACAGTATTAAAGAGCCACAGTCAAGACTAAGGAAGTGGACGACAGTGGACAGCATTTCTGTGAACACATCTTTGGATCAAAACTCCAGCAAACATGGTACAAAAGATACATCTTACCAAAAAAAAAAAAAAAACACACACACCTGCAGAATACTAGATTTAGGCCTTTATTTTATTTTAAATGTGTTTTCAAAGCCAAATTATCTTAGAACTTTTCCTCATTTAAAAAAAGTTGTTATTAAGTCTTAGTTACAATAAGAGACTTTCAGATGAAAAGCAGAATTTACCTCTACTCTGTTTTATAAAGGAGAGATCAGATGATACATGTTTAAAAATTATTTTCTCTTTGGCTTTTTACATTTTTCTAAGTGATTTTATTCTTATATTATTACACTTATTAACATTTACTGGATTTAATTTGATATGTTCTTAGGACATTTAAAACTTCTACCAGGGTCCCATTCCGTCACCCAGGCTGGAATGCATTGGCATGATCTCAGCTCACTGAAAACTCTGCTCCCGGGTTCAAGCAGTTCTCCTACCTCAGCCTCCTGAGTAGCTGGGATTACAGGCCTGAGCCACCATGCCCGGCTAATTTTTGTATTTTTAGTAGAGACAGGGTTTCATCATGCTGGCCAGGCTGGTCTCAAACTCCTGACCTCAGGTGATCCATCTGCCTTGGTCTCCCAAAGTGCTGCGATTACAGGTGTGAACTACTGCACCTGGCCCATAATTTTATTTCTATCAATTCCTTATATATGGACACATTTCTTTATATAGCTTATTGCTATGTGTAAGTCATATGGATTTAACAGTATTGTCTTTTCAGCAATTAAATTTTTTTTAGAAATGCCGTTTTCATCTTATTTAGTATTATCCATTCACCCAGCAAATATTAATCGAGTATC
Source organism: Homo sapiens (assembly GCF_000001405.40). Classification (NCBI taxonomy): domain Eukaryota; kingdom Metazoa; phylum Chordata; class Mammalia; order Primates; family Hominidae; genus Homo; species Homo sapiens. The sequence continues at coordinate 60,993 of NW_021160019.1, forward strand.
TTCTGCTTTCCAAGGCTATGTTAGCACCTGGAATACATAGACACAATGTACATACATGCTTACAGTTGAATGTATGTATGTATGTATATACGTAAAATTACTTGCCCTGGAATTGTTCATTGTGAACGAAAGTATGTCAGCAGCTTTAGTACAATATAATAGGTAATATCAAAGTTAATATTTATAATAGTTTAATAATACCAAGTTCCTTAGGAGCATTGAGTCAGGAATAACTGCAGGTGTGGTGGGTCTAGAAAGGTGAAAAAGACTTACCTTGAGAAGAGTAAGTTTACCACACAAACAGGAAGAGCAACCAAGAAAGAATAGTGCATGCAGGGTTCAAAGAGGACTGCCTGGTGAATTCTGTATCTCGGCATATCTGGGGGTGAAGGTGCAAATGACAGAAAAGAGGTAGATGAAGATGGAATAGTAGGTGTGGTGCAAATCATGGAAAACTTGTGCCAAGAATGATTTTAAACATGAAAATGATGGGTGCCTAGAGGCAGTTAAGACTTAAAGTAGTCTAGGTAAGAGAGAGAAAGGTCAGTGGACATGAGAGGGAGTACACTGCAAGAGAGTTTCAAAAATTAAAAGCAGAAAAGCTTGGTAACTCACTTAACTCATTCTTTCATTCAGCAGTGTAAGCCTGAAACACTTGCATAACTGATCAGCTAGTCAGTCTCCAGCCCTCTCCAGACAGACCCCTCAGAGGTCAGACAAATACAGGACGGACCCGAGTCGCAGGCAGAAAAGAATAGGTGTTCGCCGTAAATCATATCATTAGAGTGGCCTAGGTGTAAGGCATGCAGAGGCACTCTTAGCTGGCAGAGTAGTCCATGGGCTTGGAGGAGCACAGGAGCTGAACAGGCGACGGTCCTGGCACACTTTGGAATGTGCAATCCAGTCTGCCATGCTAACCCTTAGCTGCACACTGCACACCTACAGTAAGAAAAGTCTGATTTGTTAAGGGGAGTGGAGGCAAGGACATTTGACTAGGAAGTTCTGCATTACAGAAGGGTTAAACTGGATGTCTCAGATACTCTATGGGCCTAAGATTCTGTGACTTCCAGGCAGTTTATAAAATCCCTTCATCTCAGCACCCAGACGGATTTGGTGACATGTATAGAAGGAGATTTTTTATTTTAGCCTTGGTTGGAGGCAGTTGGGCAAGGCTTCTAGGAGGCCTGTGATCTCTGAAGCTGAGATATGAAAGATAAACAGAAGTCAGGCAGGCAGAGGTGAAGGGAGGGGAAACGATGAGAGATGGAGCGGGGCTAGAATTTTAAGAGCCTTATAAACTTGAAGAATTTGAACATTGCCTTTTGTATGTTGGAGAGTACTAAGCCAGGAGATGACATGATCAGATTTGCACTTTCGAATGATGCCTCTGGGTGCAGTGTGGAGAATTGGAGTAGATCTAGTATAGTCATTATCCAGGAGCTGTGGAGGAAGTGGAATTGACAGGGCTTGGTGATTCTAGCTTAAGCAGCCTCAAATGTATGATTGCTAGTAAAATGATATTTTTGTGACATTCTTTTTTTTCTATTGAATTTTACTTTGAAAGTTTATTAACTAAACTTTAGGGTCAGATTTCTAGATTGTACACATTGGACTAATGATTTTCAGAAATTAAAATTGTCGTGTAATAGAAGGAACCGCTAGACCATAAACCAAACAGACCTTTGATTCTAAGTTCGTTTGCCGTTCAGGGGAATGTCACTTTGGGATTTTTTTTTTTTTTTTTTTTTTTTTTTTTTTTTTTTTTTTTTTTTTTGAGACAGAGTCTCACTCGGTCACCCAGGCTGGAGTGCAGTGATGCAAATCTCTGCTCACTGCAACCCTCGTCTCTGGGATTCAAGTGGTTCTCGTGCCTCAGCCTCCTGAGTATAGCTGGGATTACAGGTGTGTGTCACCACACCCGGCTAATTTTTGTAATTTTAGTAGAGACAGGGTTTCACCATGTTGGCCAGGCTGGTCTCGTTCTCCTGAACTCAGGTGATCTGCCTGCCTCAGCCTGCCAAAGTGCTGAGATTATAGGCGTTAGCCACCAGGCCCAGCCCGGAATTTTTCTGACCTGAAGAGAGAGAACAGGGAGTTGAGACAATGGGGAAATGGCAAAATAAATATGAATCCTAGGTTCGAGACCTAGCTCTGCTACTAATTGACTCTGTTATTCCAGTCATGCACCACTTAATGGCAATGTTTCAGTAAACAATGGGCCATATATCCAGTAGTGGGTCCATTGAGCTTATAATACCATGTTTTATTGTACCTTTCCTGTTTAGCTATGTTTAGATACACCCTTCTGTTACAGTTGCCTACATTACTCAGTACAGTAACACACTGTAGGTTTGTAGCCTAGGAGCAGTAGGCTAGGCCATAGGGCTCTGCTGTGTAGTGGGCTCTACCATCTAGGTTTGTGTAAGGGCACTCTGATGTTCACACAAAAATGAAATTGCCTAGTTTCTCCAAGTGTAGCCCTGTTAAGTGACACGTGAGTGCAATTAGCTACTTGGCAAGTAACTTAACCTTTCTGAACTTGAGGTCCCTCATCTGCCAAATGGAATTAATAGTACCTCTTGGGCTTTTTTTTTTTTTTTTTTTTTTTTTGAGACCCCAGTTGCCGAGGCTGGAGTGCAGTGGCACAATCTCAGGTCACTGCAGCCTTGACCTCCCAGACTCAGATGACCCCCCCACCTCAGCCTCCCGAGCAGCTGGGATTACAGGCGAGCACTGCCACGCCTGGCTAGTTTTTTGTATTTTTATTAGAGATGGAGTTTTGCCATGTTGCCCAGGCTGGTCTCAAATTCCTGAGCTCAAGTGATCCACCTGCTTCGGCCTCCCAAAGTGCTGGGATTATAGGCGTGAGCCACCATGCCTTGCCTTGTTTTATTTTAGATTCAGGGGGTACAAGTTCATGTTTTTATACAGGTATATTGCATACTGCTAGAGATATATTGCATACTGGTGGAGATTGGGCTTCCAGTAAGCCCATTGCCCAAATAGTGAACATTTTACCCGATAAGTAGTTTTTCAACCCTTGCCACCCTCCCCACTTGTGGAGTCCCAAGAGCCTATTAATAATTTCCATCTTTGGGTATACATTGGTTAGCTCCTACTTAAAAGTGAGAACATACAATATTTGATTTTCTCTTTAGTTCACATAGGGTAATGGCTCCCAGCTCCATCCATGTTGCTGCAAAAGACATGATCGCATTCTTTTTTATGGTGGCCCTCTTGGGATGTTTTGAGGATGAATGAGACGATGCATCTCAGGCACTTAGGTGCTGGAACAGGGTTAGACACATCAGTCAGTGGTCAGCAGATCATAGCCATCATTGCCATTACTGCCTTCATCACTATCTCATCAGATACCCTACCTCCAAGACAAATATTCTCCACTGTACATTTAGCTCTGTTTGCTTAAACTGAACCTGTCACGTAGGTTTTACATTTCATTTTGCTGATGTTCCCCTTGTGTTGATTAATGAAATAAAATTGCACCCTTGCTGCCTCGTTATATCATCTGTTTCTCTTAGATGAAATGAAGTTTTCATAAGTGGAAATTGTTCTTACTAGAAAAAAATATATAATTACGTTTATCATCTCAGGTGTAAGAATTAATCACTTGAAATGTGGCAGTTATGCTTTCCTCATGTATCCTGTACAGCCATTACTTCATTTATGTCCCATTTCACTCCCAAGTGACTTTAATTCTGCTTATAGAACAGATGCATAGTTCACACAGATCAGAGTGACAAGATTGAGGATGCCAGAGCCAGAGGGGAAATGGAAGCAGTGGAGACACACTGAGTCAGGGATAGGTCAGTGCCCACCAGCGAGAGGTGTGAGGCCCTGTCAGGGACCAGCTTCATCATCCCTGAGTTACCCATGTGGATGCTGGCACACTGTGACTTGAAGCCAGAGGAAAGAGTGGGGCTGGAGTGGCATGCAGGGCCCGGCTGTGTGTTATAGATGTTCATAGTGGGAGCCGGCTGGAGTTGCGAGCGAGGTTCTATTTGCATCCACCTCAAATTCAACATGAATGGAGGAGACTTGGTTTTCCCTTCCAAATTTACTCCTTCTGGTGTCATTTTTTTCTTTTCTTTTTTTTTTCTTTTTTTTTTTTTTTTTGGAGACGGAGTCTTGCCCTCTTCCCAGGCTAGAGTGCAGTGGCATGATCTCAGCTCACTGCAACCTCTGCCTCCCGGGTTCAAGCGATTCTCCTGCTTCAGCCTCCCAAGTAGCTGTAGCTGGGACTACAGGTGCGTGCCACCATGCCCAGCTAATTTTTGTATTTTTAGTAGAGACAGGGTTTCACCATGTTGGCCAGGTTGGTCTCGATCTCTTGACCTCGTGATCTGCCTGCCTCAGCCTCCCAAAGTGCTGGGATTACAGGCATGAGCCACCACGCCTGGCCCCATCCTTTCTTTTTTAACAGTTTATTGAGATATAATTTACTTATAATTCGGTGTCTTTTAGTATATTCATGATGTTGTGTAGCCATCACCACAATCCATTTTTAAACATTTCTATTGCCTGAAAAGAACCCCTGAGCTATCATAGCCCTCCACCATACAAGTGTTTTAATGATTTGGAAATAAGTTTGTACTCATATTCTGGTCACTTAATGATGTTTATGCATCTCATAAACTTAAAATGAAATTCACAGTTATCATTTTCAGACATTCTTCAAATGCGATGTTAGAATCTCAATATAAAAGAGTTACTCTAGAGAACACAGCCTAGAGCCCACAGATCTAATAGAAAGTGTTCATGCTACATTTGAAAAGCTATAAGAAATAAATCTGTGTGTATTTTGCTCACATTTCTCTATTATTCTTCCCTTGTTAGGTGCTATTTCAAGTGGTTTCAGGCTGGAAGAGTCTCCATTTGTTCCCTATGACTTTATGAACAGCAGTACTTCACCAGCCAGTCCTCCAGGTTCAATAGGAGATGGCTGGCCACGTGCCAAATCGCCTAACGGCTCTAGCAGTGTTAATTGGCCACCAGGTAAAATTTTTTCTAACACTTTCTTTCATGAGACTGTGTTTCCATTAAGGTTTTGTTACATCTGGACTTACTACTGATGTAGCCCAGATCGGCGTGCTTAGACTGACGTGTGCGGATGAGAAGGAATGCAGAAGTGATTGAGGAAAAGTTAAGCATGAAGTCTTGGGCAAGTGAGTGTGTCAGCCTGTTACCTATGCCTTTATGCTCAAGCAGCAGAGGTAGAAGTGAGCCCCATTGACCAGCATGAAGAATTATATTAAAAACTTTAGGCTGGGCGCAGTGGCACATGCCAGTAATCCCAGCACTTTGGGAGGCCGAGGCGGGCGGATCACGAGGTCAGGAGATCGAGACCATGCTGGCTAACACGGTGAAACCCCGTCTCTACTAAAACTACAAAAAATTAGCCAGGCGTGGTGGCGGGCGCCTGTAGTCCCAGCTACAGGAGGCTGAGGCAGGAGAATGGCGTGAACCCGGGAGGCAGAGCTTGCAGTGAGCCGAAATTGCGCCACTGCACTCCAGCCTGGGCGACAGAGCAAGACAACAACAACAAAAACTTTAATTCGCTGTTTCTCGTAAGTTGTGTCAGGGAGTAACTTGCAGTATTTTCATTCATACATAGGAGTTACCAGAAGTGCTTCTATGGCCTGCTTTCTCCTACCTGAGTTGCAGTAGCTTTGTGATTTGTCTTAAAGCTTAAAGCACTTTTAAATGTTACTGTTTAAAAATAAACATGAATCTGGCGGGTACGGTGGCTCATGCCTGTAATCCTAGCACTTTGGGAGGCTGAGGTGGGCAGGTAACGAGGTCCCAGGAGATGGAGACCGTCCTAGCTAACACGGTGAAACCCCATCTCTACTAAAAATGCAAAAAGAAATTAGCCGGGTATGGCGGTGTGTGCCCGTAGTCCCAGCTACTCGGGAGGCTGAGGCAGGAGAGTGGCGTGAACACAGGAGGCGGAGCTCGCAGTGAGCCAAGATCATGCCACTGCACTCCAGCCTGGGCAACAGAGCGAGACTCTGTCTCAAAAAAAAAAAAAAAAAAATACATGAATCACAGCCAGGCACAGTGGCTTATGCCTGTAATCCCAGCACTTTGGGAGGCTGAGGTGGGAGATCACTTGAGTCCAGGAGTTCAAAGCTGCAGTGAGCTGTGATTGCACCACTACACTCCAACCTGGGTGATAGAGAAAGACCCTGTCTCAAACATACATACATATATATGATTTTTTAACACACACACAAGTACGTATGTGTATATGTTACGTGTGTGTGTGGGTATGTATATTCACATTCAGTGAGATGATTTCAGTTGTAAAAACTTGCAAGTAATTTATAAAGAATAGCTTCTATAATACTAATTGTATTAACTGAACCATCCTCTTAGAGTATTAGTGTAAATTGGAAAGTATTTGAGAGTTGCATAGGATTCAGGAATAAAGGTTTTGGATATTTATTAATGGATTTTAAAATGATGATTAAGCTTTGAACTAATTTTAAATTTCCGTTTCCAGAATTTCGTCCTGGTGAGCCATGGAAAGGTTATCCAAACATTGACCCTGAAACTGACCCTTACGTCACTCCTGGCAGTGTCATAAACAATCTTTCAATTAATACTGTGCGGGAAGTTGACCACCTCAGGGACAGGAACAGTGGTACGTAGGGGGTGCAAATCAATTTCTGAGTGACACTTAACACAGTTTAAGAATGGCTCATGTAGTACCCAGCTACTCTGGGCGACTGAGCCCAGGGTACTCTGGGATCACTTGAGCCCAGGAGCTTGAGGCAAGCCTGGGCAACATAGTTGTGGGACCCTGTCTCTTTAAAAAAGAAAGAAAACGAAGAAGAAGAATGGCAGACAGAATTCTCTCTGTTCCCATAGGTGGCTCTTTAATTTGGCTACTTTTTAAATGGTGAGGATTTTATCATCCCTTAGTATGGCAAATATATATATTAATTTAATAAGTTAACATAAAGGACCAGCAAACCTTTGCTTTCCAGCAGTTGTATTAAAGGAATGAAAAAACAGCAAATGAAGGTTGTTACTAACTTTATACTGAGTTACAAGATTATGGTAGTTTAAAAAATGGGTGTTTCTTGTAAAAGACGTTATATTATTATATATGCTTATATACTCTGAATATTGAAGGACTTTCATCTGGAAGAGCGAATTAGGCTGTCTTTCAGAGAGTAAGAATAAGACCAATTTAAGGATCCCTGCAGTCCAGATGTGCTTTTTAATTGGTTAGCAAATAAAATCCGATTACCTGCCACGGGGTTACTTTTCACCTCAAGGCATTTAGATGTGTTTCATCCATGATTTTGTACCAGAAGAGTGTTAACGAAATTAATTTTTTAAATATTAAAAAGTATTTTCTGTCTTTTTAAAATACCATCTATACCTTTAAACAGTTTATAAAGCACATGTGAAGCAGCCACCATGTTGCGTTAGACGTGTAATTTACAGAGGTAACAAGCAGAGAAGAGTCCTTAGCATTGTGAAATGGCTGGGTTTCACAGACAGCTCTGCCCGCTATGGGAACACTAAGCCAAGCATAAATTCTCATGGCGTGGGAGTTAGTGGAAGAATCCGATGGCTCTGAAAGTCAGTAGAGTTTGAATTTGGTGTTAAAGGAAATAGAACATTGAAGGCTTTGAGTGGAAGAATCTTTAAGATGGGGTAATCTGGCTGTGGTGAGCAGAGTGGATTGGGTTGGGAGACAAGCCAGGGAACTGGTGTAGTAATCCAGATGGTGGTCGGGTCTAGAGCTCAACTAGAGTAGTGGTCGATGGGGTTTTGAAAATGGAAAGCTACACCAGGTTTGGGAGCCTGAATATATCGCGTAATGGAGAAGGCTGAAGGGCCTGTTCACTAGTAGTGTCTGTGACCAGGTGCCTTAGAGAGCAGGATAGCCAGTAAGAAGTCACTGGAGCTCAGGGGCGAGTTAGCACCAAGACTCGAACCTCCTTTTTAGACCCAGTGCTGGGAAGCAGAGCCAAGTGCTGTCTTGGTGGCTGGACCCCATTGCTAGAGCGCATCCTCACAGCCAGTGAGGACAAAATCAGAGGGAAAATGCCTGTGCTGAGCCAAGGCAGAGACAATTGGCGAGCTCGCTCAGCATGCTCTTTTGAAGGCAAGAAGGAAGATGTCTCGGGCACCATCTTACCCTGAGTGGACCTGTTTCCTTTCTTGTGGCATACTGTTAGCTTTGATTTCTCTGGAAGCTTTTGCTTTTTCTGAACCTCCACGTCCCTTGCTCTGGTGGCTGATTGGACTCTTCCCCCACACAGGGTCATCCTCATCCTTGAACACCACGCTGCCTTCAACTAGTGCCTGGTCATCCATTCGTGCCTCCAACTACAACGTTCCCCTCAGCAGTACAGCACAAAGCACTTCAGGTGGGCCTCGCCTTCGCTCAGGAAGGGAGGGTTGGTCACAGCCAGAGCCGCGGCTGTTGTTTTAATGCCCTCTTCTTTCGTCCAGTCTTCTCAGGGAATTAGGAGATTCTGTTTGTGAGCCTGGGAAATTATTTTTAACATCCCTTACTCCTTTTTAAACTTACTGTACCCAGCAGTCATCTACTAAAATCAGTTTTCACTGAACAGCTCTCATCTCATCTCAGAGCCACAGCAGCTCTGTAATTAAATGTAATTTAATCCAAACTAGTTCTCAGACTATCTGCAGCGGAGGATCTTTAAAAAAAAAAAAAAATGCCAATCCTCATAGACTGATACTTTTGTAAAATACGGTAAACATGAATTCTGAATTGCTAGGAAAATGATGGCACACTTGAGAGTTACAGGAATGTCAGGTTGCTGTCTGTCTACATATGCGCACTCTGGATTTCTGGACTCGTCCTGCAGCAGATTAGTATGAAACTGTGTTGTGGTGGTCTCCTGGCCATACCCTGAGTAGCACTGACCTAATGCACACACACTTTGTAAGTGAAGTAAGAAAAAGAGTTGATAGTGATGGAAGACAGGAATTGTTCCACTCCTTGCTGTCCCCTCATGCTTTTAGCATGATAGTTGATGTGGTTTACTGTGTACCTGGTCCCTGCATACCCACTCATGTCTCCATTGCTGCGAGGCAGTGTGTGTCAGGAACTGGGCCTGCTGTCTTTTTCTTTCTTCCTTCCTTTCCTTCTTTCTCTCTCTGTCTTTCCTTCCTTTCCTTTCCTTTCTTCTTCCCTCCCTTTTTCTTTCTTTTTTTTTTGTTTTTTTGTTTTTTTGTTTTTTGTTTTGCCATACAGGCTTAGTTTTGAATCCTGGCTCTGCATTAGACCCATAAGCAAATTACTTACCCACTCTGTCTTCAGTAGACTGTGTCAGGACCACAGACAGCACATGCCAGGTGCCCAGCAGCCAATGCTCAGCACAGAGAGGCAGGCACCCCGTGAAGATCTCCTTTGGCAGCTCCTGAGTTGGGGCTCTTTTGCAGTCCTTTTTTCCCTGAGTAAACAACAAAGTTCTAAAATTCACTTAAATGGCCTTTCTTGAGTGACTCAATTACGGTTATTAAGAATTTCACAATTGCTATTTTAGAGCAATTCAGATTGTTTTCCATTTCAGTTTGAGTACAGTTTTGGACACTGGCCTAAGAATTTCATAGGTCTTACAGCTGTTAGTAACAGATCAATGGCTTGAGTGTTTGGAGGGATGGAAAGCAGTTTCCTTTGGACTGATTTTCTTTTTTGGCAGTTTAGTTGATTTGGGGTTTTAAAGTTTCTTTTGTTTGTTAGATTTGCTTTTTGTGGGAGAATGGATGTCATTATTTAAATTTCCTCCTTTCTTAAACATTATTCCTCCCCTCTCCATTTTTTCCCCCTTTGAGTAGCCAGAAATAGTGATTCCAAATTGACATGGTCTCCTGGTTCAGTTACAAACACCTCTCTGGCTCATGAGCTGTGGAAGGTCCCTTTGCCACCTAAAAACATCACTGCTCCGTCCCGCCCACCTCCGGGACTGACTGGTCAGAAGCCACCCTTGTCTACGTGGGATAATTCTCCCCTTCGTATAGGTGGAGGATGGGGAAATTCTGACGCCAGATATACCCCAGGTAAGATGCAGTCGTAAGGTGGGTTTCTGTGGTTTATTTGCTAAACGCTAACCAGTACTAACAGTCGAGTTTAACAGAGACCTGAACGGTAAACTATTGCCTCACCTCCATCAGGGGGAATGAGAACTTCGGTAAACAAATGATCCACCCAAAGGCACACAACAGGCTGCAATAACATTAATGCATTAGGAAGCTCCATTGTCTCAGAAGTTCCTCAAGACTACATCTTAAAATGTGTAGGAACTTCCTGCTCATGGCAGGCTTAAACCACATCACATGGAGCAGAAGGCAGTATTGGGCAAGTCTGGGGAACATGGGAGCAGGCCATCTGGGCCTTGAAGACTAGGGGGGTAGCTTGGCCTGTATTAAATGGGGACATTTGAGAGTGAAAGAGAGTGCTGTTGATTAATCATACATGGCCAACAGGCATAAGCCAGAAGGCCCCGGCAGTCTGGTTCCTCTGCCTTTCCTCATTCTATAATGACTAACATTGGATTTGTACTGGCATCATTTCCTGCCTGTGCTGTCTCCACACCATACATATACACACACAGCCCCAGATGAGCCTAGCAGTTTCCCCAGTAAATACAGTCTTATCCTTCACTCTACCTTGCCTGCAAACTACCAAACATTCCCATCTTCAAGCTGAAAATGAGTAATAAAACCTCATTAATATTTTCTGATTAAATATGTAATTTCTGATCTTTAGACAGGTGATTGGCTGTAGGAAAACTTGCAGCTTTTCCTTTGAGTGCGGGTTAATTATAGGAAAAGAACACTAAAGTACGTGCCAAGCTGCTGAATGCAAGTTAACATAATTGGTGTGGTGTGAGTGGTTTTTGGTTTGGTGTGAGTGGTTTTTGGAGGCCGCAGACATCTGTCTGGATGCCAGCTAAGAGACTGGCAGCACACAGCGAGGGGCGCTAGTGAAAGTGGCCCAGGAACCCACCCCAGGGAGGCTTGGTGCAGTTGAGTGGAATTAGGAAACCTGTAGGAGTAAGCCAAGCGAACCGAGGGGCAGCCTCTGCCAAGGCCCAGACACCGGAGAAAGCACAAAGGCTCCCGTTGGAGTGATGAGAGGATTGCAGGGAGTGGAGGAGGATTCCGTGAGAGGTGGATAGGCCTGAGCTGTGTCATGGAATGGTCTTTCCCAGCACCTGAAGTGTTTGTGAGGTGCCTTGAGTTGCAGATGGGGTCAGGGATGAGGGCTGTACTCCCAGGGGAAGGGTGGATGCCACAGGGGTCCAGCAGGAAGGCCAGATGGGGAGCCCCTGCAGTAACCCCGGGGAAAACAAGGAGCATCTGTGCGATCGCAAGCTCTGGAATCCCCTTAAAGCTTCATGCCCTGAAGGACACACACGCAGAGTGATCAGACACTACTGAAGTCTTCCCCAGATGGTACCGTTTGAGATTATTTTAGCTCCTATCAATGAGAAGATCTCAAAAAGATGCAGCCTTTTGTGGCTCACTGCCCTCCTCTGTGGTGAACTGGGAGCCATTCTGAGCTCACTGTCGCCAGAGGCAGAGCCCCCTGCCATAGGAGTTAATGCCTGGCCATGGCTAGGGCGAGCTGAAATTCTGGGCCTAGGGAGAAAGCCTCCCATGTAGAAGTGCAAGGAAGTGAAGGAAGTCAAGAGGCCAGGTGATCTGCTAAGTAACTGTAGTTGGGCTCTTTCAGTCCTGGAAAACTGACTTGTCCTTTTTTTCCTTGTTTAGGTTCCAGCTGGGGTGAGAGCAGCTCAGGGAGAATAACAAATTGGCTTGTTCTAAAAAACCTTACACCTCAGGTAAGGATACCAGATACGCTGGTTTATGTGGCTACGCCAGGGAGCATGGGAACAGAGGTTCGGGTCTGTATGTGAGACAAGGGCTGCTAGGTGGTAGTGAAGCCGAGCAGAGGAAACAGCAGAGGAGTGGTCTGTAGACCTCAGGCAGGCTGTGGTCGAATCTGGTGGTTCACGCTGTAATGTGCCTGGGAACCAACCAAGCATACAGATTCCCAGGCCTCACCCAGAGATTGAGTCAGTAGATCTGGGCTAGGGGCTGGGACTCTGCATTTGTATGAGGGCCTGCAGATGAATTTGACACAGGTGGTCCTTGTTGGCACATGGAGAAATCCTGGTCTGCCCCTGAGGTGAGAGCATTTTCTTAGCCCCTGGCCTGCGCCCTCCTCTGGAGGCTGGGTGTTGAGCTCCCACCTCCCTCCTCCCTCAGGGAGCAGAACCTTGATGGATGCTGTCCTCAGGGCAGGGAAGAGAGAAGACATGGAGCCACAGTGGGGATCTGGGGAGTGTCCAGGAGTCTAGAGGCCAGAGCGGTATGGCTCTGGGAGCAGTGGAGGTGGGGAAGATGGCTCTGCACCCCGTCAGAGCAACGTCAGAGTGTCAGTGAAGAGTGGTGCCAGGAGCACAGAGCCTCAGGAAAGAGAGGAGGGGCAGCAGTGCAGCCTGAAACAGCCTCCTGGAGGGCCCGCGGTGACGCCTCTCACTGGCAGTTTCCACACTGTTTCCTAGATCGATGGCTCAACTCTGCGCACTCTGTGCATGCAGCACGGCCCGCTGATCACATTCCACCTGAACCTCCCTCACGGAAATGCTCTGGTCCGCTACAGTTCAAAAGAAGAGGTAGTGAAGGCACAAAAGTCTCTGCACATGTAAGTTGGCTGTTGGGCTCCCAGTTGGAAGAGTCTAGGGGAAGGAGTGTGAGAGCACAGCCTGACCCGGGGCAGTGCACAGGGTCCTGCGTGGGTGGCTCCTGCTGGCTGCAGTAGTGCCCTGATTCCAAGGTCGGCATTCCTAAGCGGGGAATCAGACCTGGCTAGATGGCCCTAGAAAGTCCCTTACGTTGCCCATGGCAGACAGAGGAAGTTCGCTCTGGGCAAGGCACCAGGCCCTGGAGAGCTGTGGGTGCACACTCGGGTGAAGGGAGGGCACGCAGGTTATGTGGTGTAGTCTCTCCCTCTGTGCCTTCTGTGGCTTTTCTAGCAGAGACAAGTTGCACCCTCACTTGTGAGTGAATGAAGCCCTCCTGGTGTGCTGTCCTCACGTGTCCGCGGTGCCTCTCTCCTCTAGGTGTGTACTGGGGAACACTACTATTCTTGCTGAGTTTGCCAGTGAAGAGGAGATCAGTCGTTTCTTTGCACAAAGCCAGTCTCTGACCCCTTCTCCCGGCTGGCAGTCTCTCGGGTCCAGCCAGAGCCGGCTGGGCTCCCTCGACTGTTCCCACTCATTCTCCAGCCGGACCGATCTCAATCACTGGAATGGTGCTGGGCTGTCGGGAACTAACTGTGGAGACCTTCACGGCACTTCACTCTGGGGGACCCCGCATTATTCCACAAGCCTGTGGGGTCCCCCAAGCAGCAGCGACCCCCGAGGAATTAGCAGCCCATCTCCCATTAACGCTTTTCTTTCTGTTGACCACCTGGGTGGGGGTGGAGAGTCCATGTAACAGTGTAGATGCAGACTCACCGACCGGGACCTCAGACGCGAGGGAAAGGAGCACTAAGTGGGGCTCGCCGCCTGCAGCCAGGGGCCGCCTGTGGGAACAGCTATTCTCTGCACATTTTCCACTTTGTTTTCCCCAAAACATATCAGTTTGAATACTTGAATCATGCAGGCCAATATTATAATGTGAAAAGGTATCTACTCTATTTACACTCCCAAATAGCGCCATACATGCTAAACCGTAGAGAATGAGCTCGCTTGTGTCTATTCATCATGTTTAGCCTTTGGATTCTTTTTTTTTTTTTCCTTCTATTCCTCCCCAACCCCCCCCCCCGCCCCTTTTTTTCTCTCTTGCAAAACCATTTTTTGGGCTGATAACGTATGAGCTTTTCCCTTTGCACTGAATGATGTTCTCTCCGTCTCATCGGCAGTATGGGGGGCAGCTGTCCCAGTGTCAATGTTTACTCAAGGGTGTTCTTAGGAGGCGTGCGCTCTCTACTATGCCTTGATGTTGCCTACCTTATTGTGGTATCGTGGAGTTTAAAAGATCAAGTTAGGATGCTGACTTAGGATTATTAATGAAAGTGTTGCACCAGTTTTTTCATGTTGTAAAACTAAAGAATTTCGCTCTGCAGTTTGAAAAACTGTGGCCACAGCTGTGACTTGCAGCCCACCTGCCACCCAGGACGGGCCCTGCACTTTGAATAGGCTTTCCATTTTGTTTTGGAGGTTCTCACTTTGAACCTTCTTGTTTACAGATTTTTTTGTTTGTTTTTTGAGAAAAAAAAATGTTTACTCTTCCATCATTTAAAAAAAATGTAAAAGACAAAAAAAAAATGGAGGATGATTTAAAAGATGCTTTCTATCTCTGGGAAAAAGGAGCAGCATTTGGCCATGTTCTTTTGTTTTTCTATTCCTGTCCCAAATCAAAGAGCATGGTTCTCAGGAAAACCAGTTCCCCAGTTTAAAAAAAAAAAAAAAAATTCCTTGTAGTTTCTTAGAGGAAAAAAAGAAAAACCCCAACTTTTAGCACTGATACTACATATTGCTCTGTTAAAGAATTTTCTCTGCCAAAAAAAAAGAAAAAACAAAAAAACGCTTAAAGCTGGAGTTTGACATTCTGCTTTCAGATGCTGTCTTTTTATTAGTGAGTGATGATGGTTTGCTAATAATCAATAGGTAATAATTTTTTGTAATCCCATCAAGTGGCTCCATATGTTTCTGCTCTCTCGTGACTGTGTTAATGTTTAACTGTTGTACCTTAAAGCCGAAATCAGTAACTATGCATACTGTAACCAAGGTATTGGGCTTACAGAGTTGTTTGTTGTATAAAGAAAATTTTAAATGTTGTTGCAAACTAACGAGTTACACCATTTTAAACTTTCTTTCCTCCCCCCTTTTTTTGCCCACAAATGGTATTATAATGCTTGCTTAGTCAAAGAAGAGAGACTAAACAAGGGTAAAAATTTTAACAGTACAGAATTTGCCATCATATCATTGCCTTGATTCTAACTGTTTGTGTCCTAAGATGCAAAAGAAGTCAGTGGCTTTTAACTGTTTACAAATAGAATGTGATTGTAAAATGTACAGTTTGGTTGTGTTTGAATTATGAAATTTCTTCAGATATAATAAACCATGACTTTTTGGCTGCTCAACATTAATTGTCTCCTTTTTGTGAATTTATTTGTAGGCTCTTTTTTATAATGAAAGTTTCAAAGTTGCTATGTATGAGGGTTCTCATAGAGCAACCGATTAAAAATCTAAGCAAATATTTGAACATTTTATCTGAACTCATCACAATTTCACCCTGAAATAATGTGAGAACAATGGGAAACTGTAGCTTGCTCCTTCCCACCCTCTCTGAGCATCTTTGGGATCTTGTTGCTCAAAACTCTTCTGTGACTTCATCTTCCCCACCATTTGTGCCCATCTCAAGCCTCAGCAAGAAACCATGTGGAACATGAAGCTTAATGACTTGACAGTGTACTAGTGTTAAACTCTCATACCTCTGTTACAAAGCGAGAAACGCCACACCCGGACTGGCCTTTTCTTCCCCCTTCACGGCCCTCGCTTCTCCCTGCAGGAGCTCGGGGGCGAAACCTGTGTATGGATTTCAGTGTATGACTTCAGATCATGCTCCAACTTGCCAGGTGTGAGCTAATGTTGTCGGACACCTTACTATAAGCAAATGTTATTCAGTGCGTTCAATGTATATTGACTTCCATACTGGTTTTTCCAAAAACCAAAGGTAGCTTTGAAAAACCATGTCTGGAAATGTTTGGAGCGTTAAGCTGATTGACCTTCTGACCTTGGGGCTTTGAGTAGTATATAATTCATAACTGCGTTAATTGTATTGTTAAAGTGTTTGGGAGTTTTTTGCGCTTGTTATGTGGAAATAAAGTGTTTGATTTAAAATTTTTTAAAGTGGTTTGGATCTTTGCCTAGTCCTTAAATAAATACAGCTCTATTCCCTAAGCCACCCTTACTTCTCGGTCTTAATCCCGACTGCCAGTGCCTGGATGCTGCCCTTTGTCTGGCACAGACCTGCAGCTGACCATGCTGGGCCCATGGCTCGGGGCTTTCTAGTCACGCAGAGCCACCAAGAGTCAGGGTAAACTTTTTAACACAGGCACTTAACACGTTTTTTCTTTGTTTTCTTTTTTCCTTTTCTCTTTCTACTTTCTTCCTTTTTCTTTTTTCTTTCTTTTTCTTTCTTTTTTTTTTTTTCTTTCGACAGGGTTTCACTCTGGATATCAGTTCACTGTCACCTCTGCCTCCCAGGCTCAAACGGTTCTCGTCCCTCAGCCTCTCAAGTAGCTGGGATTACAGGCACCTATCACCGAATCCGGCTAAGTTTTGTATTTTTAATAGAAATGGGGTTTCACTGTGTTGCTCAGGCTGGTCTCAAATTCCAAAGCTCAAGCGATCTGCCCATCTCAGCCTCCCAAAGTGCTGGGATTACAGGCATGAGCCACTGCGCCTGGCCTCAGGCATTTACACATTTTCAAATATCCCTCCTTGCTCTGCTCCCCTGGGTGTGTTCCCAGCTCTAATGAACCTCAACTTCTCTGCGGTGCTATGCTTTCCACCCTCAAAGACTGGAGGGCAGCTTGCCCTGGACTTCCTTCCCCAGTCAAGAGTAATTAGCTCCTTCCATCATTTCAAGGAACTGTGCTAGGCCACCACATGCTGAATAGGCTCTCTCTAGTCTTTGTAATCCACCTTCTCAGATCGATGATAGTGGCTGAATAAATATTGCAAGGAATAATAGCTGAGCTGTCACCTATTGACACCTGAGGACAGGAGACTGTGGTAGTGCCACACTGTTGGCTTGTGCAGGTGGATGAACCGGGGAATGACGACAAGGTCAAATTGGGGCCCTTGACCCAGAGGATCAAATTCAGGTTGAATGGCATGAAGGTAGGGACTGAGATGAAGGGGGAGTATTTGCATCAAGACTGAGGGATGGCCAAGCATGGTGGCCTCATGCCTGTCATCCTAGCACTTTGGGAGGCCGAGGCAGGAGGATCACTTGAGCTCAGGAGTTCGAGGCCAGCCTGGGCAATATAGTGAGACCCAGTCTCAAAAAGTTGGGGGGATGACAAATTGAGGTTGCACTGAGCAAACCATCTTAACGTTTGGCTAAGGCATCGTTTCCATGCATTGGGACTTAATTGGTTTTTCCTCTTCTCCAAAGTTCAGATCTTTTCCTGCTGACCCTTTGATTTCAAATGTGCAGAGGGGTGTCTCGGAACAAAAGCCAGAACTGGAACCCATATGGACCTTGACAGAGACCAGGCCTTCAGCCCTGGCGGAACTTTGCATGAATAGGTATTTACATGGTCCAACGGGAGGGAGGGTAACGGCATTGGTGTGTTAAGGGTTCTCTACATGCCAGGTGCTTTTTCAAAAGTTTTATTCTGTTTTAAGACAGTGTCACTCTGTCGCCCAGGCTGGAGTGCAGTGGCTCAATCTCAGCTCACTGCAGCCTCAACCTCCCAGGCTCAAGTGATCTACCTCAGCCTCCCAAGTAGCTGGAACTACAGGCGTGCACCACCACGCCCAGCTATTTTTTGTAGAGACAGGGTTTCACCATGTTGCCCAGGCTGGTCTCAAGTGATCCGCCTGCCTCAGCCTCCCAACGTGCTGGGATTACAGGCGTGAGCCACCACGCCCAGCTAAGTTTTTGTTGCTGTTGTTGTTTTTGTTTTTTGTTATTAGAAATGGGGTTTCATCATGTTGCCCAGGCTGGTCTCGAACTGCTGGACTCAAGTGATCCGCCCGCCTCAGCCTCCCAACGTGCTGGGATTACAGGCATGAGCAACCACGCCCAGCTAAGTTGTTGTTGTTGTTAGTAGAGATGGGGTTTCACCAGGTCGCCTAGGCTGGTCTCGAACTCCTGGGCTCAAGTGATCCGCCTGCCTCGGCCTCCTGAAGTGTCGGGATTATAGGTGTGAGCCACCGTGCCTGGCCCTGCCAAGTGCAGTGTTATTTTCAGAGCTTTCCAGCCTGGCCCTAGGAACAGAAAACCACAGTGCCATTTGCACTGGTGGACAGTGTCTCAAGTTGTCCACCAACATACCCCCAAAGCTAGAGGACACAGCATGCGGACCCCCCTGGGATCCAGGGGCAGAGTTTAAAGCTTAAGAATTTTAGGTTAAGCTGAATGTGAATGTTGCATTCTGCTCCACATCTTTTCCTCTAAAAATACGGCTTCAAATAGCCACTTAAATTGCTTTTCTTCAGAAAGTCTGATGCTTCCAGAAGGTGAACCACACCACAGCAGGGTGCAGTCAGGACCCAGTACCACTCTAAGAAGCAGGGCTGAAGAGGTTCCTTAGAGCTGTGCTGACAGATGACAGGTGGCAGGGAGTCCTATTGGCTGAGCCCCGGCAAAGGGGCAAGAGAATGACTCCCACCGGCTGACCCAGCCTTGAATTCAAGGGCCCTGTCGAAGCCCACGGAGACCCCTGTCCTGGCTAACAGTTGACTCCAGGTCGCTCCAGCCTGCAGGGAGAGCAGGACAGCAGTCTGCAATTCCAACCAAGTGATGCCAGGACCTAATCTGCAGACCTGAATCCAGTACATAGACTGTTACAATGTTGCTGCATCCCTGAACCGCCTGGGTTTCTATCGATTTCATAGTGATAAAATCAACTTCTGCGGGGCGTAGAGGCACGAGCCTATAATCCCTGAGGCTGAAGCAGGATTGCTTGAGCCCAGGTGTCTGACACCAACCTGGGCAACATGTTCAACCTGAGACACTCAGATCAAAAATAAATTTTAAAAAAAATTGTTTAATCAACTCCTCCAATTTCTTTATAAAGGAAAGTTGATATCATTACCTTATACAGAAAATCAGTGTCCATATATAAAAGAGAGCTATACAAGAAATAAAAACAAAATGTATTCCATTCTGGGTAGATATACTTATCAAAGGTGAGAAGAGAGGTTAGAAAGGGTTCAGGAGAGGTTAAAGTCGTGCTCTCACCATGTGGAGACTTCCTGCCTGATGGGGTCAGATGTGCTCCAGGGACACTGACACTGCAGAGGGAGAGCTCTACGCATTTGCGATTCTGCCTTATCTAATCAATCCTCTCCTGTACCCGACAGACCCCTCCCTCCCCCAGGAGTGCTGAGCCCGGGCCTTGGGAGGTTTGGGGGTTGGGGGGGCTCTTGCTTTAAGGCTTTGGCTCCATATTCTGTGGAAAGCACCCCTCAACCACTGCCCCCATATCTACAGAGAACTACTGTGAAGACAAGAGGCTGGGAGATGAATGGGGGCAGTGGGACCCCGTGGCACACTGGCAATCCCTGGTCACCCCTGCTCGGAACCCACCAAAGATGGCCTGAGCATTGGCGTAAAATACTCCTTTCTGAGGAGGTGGCGTCCAAGCAGACACCTGAAAGATGGGAAGCAACAGCCCAGCTTGGGGAAAGGACAATTCAGGTAACAGCCCGGAGCCCAGGGTGTCTGAGACAGAGTGGGCAAGGGGGACAGTGAAAGGTGACCACTGGGTCAGGTGCGGTGGCCGTCGGCTGTAATCCAGCACTTTGGGAGGCTGAGAGGAGAATCGCTTGAGCCCAGGAGTTAGAGACCAGCCTGGGCAATAGAGTGAGACCCCCAGAGAAGGAATGAGGGCAGGGCTCCAAGGCTAAGGCCGTGCTACCCAGGCCTGGCTGTCTATTAAAACCACTTGGAAATACCCCAAAGCTCAGGCGCCACCCCAGACAGTCTGATTTAATAGGGCCCCAGCATGTTTTAAAACCTTTACTTTTTTATAGCACGTTACAATTTGCTATCACTTTGTTTTCCTGCTTCATGTCTAAATGCACACGTGCACACGTGTGTGTGCGCACACACACACAATGAATACAAGTAAAACCCGGGACATCTGAATGCAGTCAGTGAACCAGATGACTGTCAGTCTCCTGGTTGTGATATTGTACTATGATAGTTTTTCAAGATGTGACTATTGAGGGGAACTGGGTTGAGAGTACAGGACATCTCTGTATTGTTCCTTATAACCACATGTGAATCTGCAATTATCCCAACACTGTGAACAAAGCTCTTATGTAGTAATGATCATCAAATGATATTTTTGATATAGGAGGTTTTTTTTATTTTTTATTTTTTTGAGACGGAGTCTCACTCTGTCACCCAGGCTGGAGTACAGTGGCTTGATCTCGGCTCACTGCAACCTCCGCCTCCCCGGTTCAAGCTATTCTCCTGCCTCAGCCTCCTGAGTAGCCGGGATTACAAGTGTGCGCCACCACACCCAGCTAATTTTTGTATTTTTAGTAGAGACGGGGTTTCACCATGTTGGCCAGGCTGGTCCCAAACTCCTGACCTCAGGTGATCCGCCCACCTCGGTCTCCCAAAGTGCTGGGATTACAGGCATGAGCCACTGAGCCCAGCCTATCGTAGATATTTTCAATGCTGCTATTCCACAAATGCCAGAGCTCCTGGTTTCCAGGTTTCTAAAAAGTAAAGTAGAACAGATTCTTTGGCCGTTCTAGAGGAATTTTTTTTTTTTTTTTTTTTTTTTTTTTTTGCTGTTTTATGAATGCTTACCTATTTGAATATTGGCAGAGAAGTAAATAAGTTGACAACAAAAAGTTAAAAAAAAAAATCATCTCAGCAAGTGACCCCAAGACCCTTTAGGACCCTGTGCTGTGGTGAGGCCTAGCCATTGATCCCGGGAGGCCCAAGGTGCAGGTTGCGGGGGGTTTTGCCCCAGTTCTGCTGTGGCACCAGAACCCAAGCCCCTTGCCATCATTGCATCTTCTAGAGTCACTGTGATGAAAATGAGATCACGTGATTAAATCTTAAGTGATTAAAATGGACTTTTCAGGCATAAAGTTAAAGGTTATGGGTACTAGCAATGACTACAGGTCGTTATTGCATAAGCAACAAAAGGCCCATTCTTCTCTTTGGGAACTTATTTTTTAGGTACCTGTATTTCATTTTGTTTTTAATTTTTGATTTAATAACATTGTTTGGTTTTATTGGGTTTTTCATCACTCCCTGTTGGATATGGCAAACAATGGTCTGTTAAGGTTTCTTTTTTTTCTTTTTTTTTTTTTTTTTTTGAGATGGAGTCTTCTCTGTTGCCAAGGCTGGAGTGCAATGGTGTGATCTTGGCTCACTGCAACCTCCGCCCCCAGGGTTCAAGCAACTCTCCTGTCTCAGCCTCCCGAGTAGCTGGGATTACGGGTGTCTGCTGCCGCGCCCAGCTAATTTTTGTATTTTTAGTAAAGAGAGGGTTTCACCATCTTGGCCAGGCTGGTCTTGAACTCCTGACCTCGTGATCCACTTGCCTTGGCCTCCCAAAGTGTTGGGATTACAGTCATGAGCCACCATGTCCTGCCAAGTTTTCCTTTTATTTGTTTGTTTGTTTAGAGACAGGGTCTTACTCTGTCCCCCAGGCTGGAGTGCAGTGGCATGATCATGGCTCACTGTAGCTTCGGCCTCCTGGGCTCAAGAGGTCCTGTCACCTCAGCCTCCTGAGTAGCTGGGACCACAGGCACACACCACCATGCCCAGCTAATTTTTTTTTTTCCCTGTAGAAATGAGATCTCACTATGTTTCCCAGGCTGCTCTCGAACTCCTGGGCTCAAGCGATCCTTCCACCTTGGCCTCCCAAAGTGCTGGGATTAGACATGAGCTATCGTGCCCAGCTAGTTTTCCTTTAAATAAATACATTTCTGTTGTATTTTAGAAGAGGGCTAAATTGAAAGAAGCTGTTAGGTAAATAACAGTTGAGGCAACGTGCAGAAACGGCAAAGTTGTGAGTGTCCGAGGTCAGGGAGCATAACAGAGGACGAGATCTTTTCACGTGCTTTTCTTTGCCCTCGGAAGTTGCTACTGGTTATTGGTTAATGTGGTCTTTGGAGTTAGACCAACCTGTTGTCATGGAATGTCTGGCTGTAAGGAGTCCAGGGCTGGTATCCTCGCTCTACTTAAGGACCCAAGACGCCTTCCATCATTGCAACACTGTCTTCATCTGCAGAGGCACAGATATCTCACTTCCACAGTCACATCCCAGCCAGTGGAGAAAGAGAGGGATGGGGAGAGCATGCTCCTCCCCACTAAGGGCATGACCCCCAGCTATGCTCACATGCCATTGGGCAGAAGAAAATCACATGAGCAGGAAGGCTGCAACTCATAGTCTTTATTCTGAATGTCTTGTCCCCAGCTTAGATGTGACACTTCTGCTATTGGGGAAGAAGGAGAGACTGGATATTGGGGAACAACTAGTAGTGCTGGTTCTAAGAAGGGAACAGTTAAATAAACTATACTTCATCCGGAAGCCGGAATGTTTAGCCACTAAGACAATGAGATAGATCTATATAAACGGCTATCAAGAGGTGTCTTTTTTTTTTTTTGAAACAGGGTCTCACTCTGTCACCTAAGCTGGAGTGCAGTGGTGCAATCTCAGCTCACTGCAGCCTCAACCTCCCAGGCTCAAGTGATCCTCCCACCTCAGCCTCCCAAAGGGCTGGGATTACAGGCGTGAGCCACCACGCCCAGCCTGCTTGAACGGTCAAACCTAACTGGATGCCAGGAAGCAAGGAGAGCCGGGTGATATCACCTGAAACCCACAGCAATCAGCTTCATGGAGCACCGAGCACAGTCAGGAGGGGTAGAAAAGGGATCCAAGGTGGGTGACGTGCTTGAAGAGCGAACATTAACCAACCCCTCTAGGAGGGTGTGGAGCAGGAACTGGAAGGGTCTGGGCCTTGAGGCTAGCTGGGAAACTAATTTGGAAGTTGAGACAAGAATTTATAAAAGCCGGAATCAGGGCTGTAGCATAGAGATGCGAGGAAGAGCTAAATGCATGAAGAGCCAATGAGATGGATGCTAGGGTCTGTGGAGAGTGAAGGAGAGGAGTCTAGGACAATCTCACGTTTCTGACTTGGTGAACCACTACTAGCTAAGGGAGAGGACCCTGGAGGATAAGAGTGGGTTTCCTGGTGCAGGGAGTGGCAGGTGGGTGTGCAATATGATGTATCAAGGAGCCTGGGAAACAGCCCAGTGGAGCTGTCCAGTTGACAGCTGCTTTTAAGTGGTGAGGACACTATATTTTTTCACCACTGTATCCTTAGCACCTAGCTCAGAGCACTGAAAATATTTGTTGGATGCATGGATGAATGGATGGATGGACAGACAGATGAACAGACGGATGGACAGATGGACGGATGGATGGATGGATGGTTGGACAGATGGATGGACGGATGGATGGATGGACAGATGCAGGGATGGATGGATGGATGGATGGATGGATGGATGGATGGATGCATGGATGGATGGATGGATGGATGGATGGACGGATGCATGGATGGACGGATGCATGGATGGATGGATGGATGAATGGATAGATGGCTGGATGGTTGGATGGATGCATGGATTGACGGATGGATGGATAAATGGATGGATGGATAAATGGATGGATAGATGCATGTTTAAGGAAGAAACCAATAATAGAGATATCAATTTGGGGTTTGTAAATCACAGGTGATGGCTGAGGCATGGAAATGGGTAAGCATGTAGAATGAGGGCTCAGGAAATATCATAATTTGAGAAGAAGAAAGGAGACTAGAGATCTGAGCAGGAAGAGTCAAAGATTCAAAGAGGCATTGATGAGGTGAGGGTTGGGCATGGACAACATGAGAGAGTGGAGTCTCAGATCTGGGGAGAGGGGAAATTTCAGGGAAGGAGAAAGCCATGGTCTGAAATGCTGCCTGTCAAGAAATCTATGGGGAAAGCCATGCATGGTTCTGTGACAGTGGAGATCATTTTTGGGGTAGAGGCAGACGCCAGGTCCCAGTGGGGTGAGGGGTTAATGGATAATGGAGATGAAGGTGGTGGTGTAGATTGGATTTCCCAAGAATCACATTCTGAGGTGCAGATCTGAGTGGAGGTGGCTTATTGGAAAATATCCTCAGAGTACATTGATAAGGGAGGAAGGGAGGCAGGACAGGGCAGAGGGAGAAGTTGAGCTGCAGTGAGGTCGCAACAGAGGCCTCAGCCAACCTCTCAGGGAGCTGTGCAGCTGGGATGTCCCTCAAATATGCTCTGCACCCAAGGAAGGACAGGGACCACCCCACTGACCAAGCACTGGATTTAGGCTGTGGATTTAGGGGAATTGTCCTTCCTCTGGCTAAGGACAATTCCTTTTGGGGAGACTCAGCTGGGAGCTGGCTGCCACACTCTCCCAGCAGTCAGGCAGTGAATGCCTCCACCCTGCAAGGAGGTCGGGTGCGCCCCACAGGGAGTGGCAAGTGTAAACTGTCAGGAACTGATCAGTGGAGGGAAAGAAGGGAAGCCAGTGCAGCAGCTAGAGGGAGACAGAGGTCAGAAAAGCCTTTGTGTGTAGCTCTAGTTCATAGTTTGAGAAACACTGCAGTGTGATCTTAGGCTGGGAGAAGAAGCCCCTAGAGAGTGAGAATGAAGACCCAAGAGTGAGGATAGACCTGCCACACTTTCTGTTTAACCCCCAGAGCTTAGAACACTGCCTGGCACACATTTGCACTTAAGAAATATCTGCGGAATGGCTGAATCCAGGAGTACATTCCAGACATTTTAACACTGAATAGCAGAAACAGAGTGCCGATATTTAGCTCCATGAAGAAATACATACGCATTTAAATATAGGAATGTACTTGAAGTTGGGCACAGTGGCTCACACCTGTAATTCCAGCACTTTCGGAGGTCAAGGCAGGAGGATTGCTTGAGTCCAGGAGTTAGAGATCAGCCTGGGCAACAGAGTGAGATCCCCATCTCTACAAAAACTACAAAAATTAGCCAGATGTGGTGGTGCACACCTATAGTCCAAGATACTTGGGAGGATGAGGTGGGAGGATGGCTTGAGTCTGGGAGGTCAAGGCTGCAGTGAGCTATGATTTTGCCACTGCACTACAGCCTGGGCAACAGAGCAAGACCCTGACTCTTTCAAAAAAAAAAAAAAAAAGTACTTATAAGGGGAACCAAGACACTCAAATACTGCCACACCACCGTTATAATCTGTAGTGCATTCACAATTTCATGGAAGCCCACAGAAGCCAAGAAATTCCCTCCAGCCCCTAATCCTCCATCTCAACTTCAACCACGGCTTCTTTCATGTAATGTTGGTCCATGTTTTTCCATAAGAACCCATTTATATAAAGACTTTTATGATTCCTTAAAACAACTTTGTTGAGGTAGAAATGACATGATAAACTACACATACATGTACAATTTGAAGAGTTTTGACACAGGCATAACCGATGAAACCATTACAGGAGAACGAACATACCCATCTGTATTAGTCCATTTGCACACTGCTGATAAAGACATACCCGAGACTGGGTAGTTTATAAAGGAAACAGGTTTAATGGACTCACAGTTCCACATGGCTGGGGAGGCCTCACAATCATGGCAGAAGAGCACAGAGACATCTTACATGGCGGCCGGCAAAGAATGAGAACACAGTGAAAGGGGGAACCATATAAAATCATTAGATCTCGTGAGACTTATTCACCACCTCGAGAACAGTATGGAGGAAACTGCCCCTGTGATTCGATTATCTCCCACCAGGTCCCTCCCACAGCACATGGGAGTTATGAGAGCTACAATTCAAGATGAGATTTGGGTGGGGACACAGCCAAACCATATCACCATCGCCCCGAGAAATTTCCTTCTTCCCCTCTGTGACCCCTCCCTCCTGCCTTTCCCATCCCCAGGCAAACATATATCCATCACAAGAAATTTGTTCCCGGATTCTACATTTGTATGTAAATGAATCAGAGTATGTACTTTTTGTGTGTCTGGCTTCTTCCCTTGGCAAAATTATTTTGGAATTTTTTTTTTTTTTTTGAGACAGAGTTTCACTCTTGTTGCCCAGGCTGGAGTGCAATGGTTAATTTTGTATTTTTAGTAGAAATGGGGTTTCTCCATGTTGATCAGGCTGGTCTCGAACTTCCGACCTCAAGCGATCCATCCGCCTTGGCCTCCCAAAGGACTGGGATTACAGGCGTGAGCCACTGCGCCTGGCCTGTTTTTTACGTTTGAAAGTATCTAACAGAGAAAAGCCTCAAGAGAGTGCTTTGTTCACAATTCTGTCCTGTTTGTGCTTTTTCTCAGTAGTTTAGACACACACATAGAAGAATTATATTTATTAGCTGGGCTTGGTGGTGTGCACCTGTAATCCCAGCTACTCGGAGGCTGAGGCATGAGAATCACTTGAACTCGTGAGGCAGAGGTTGCAGTGAGCCGAGATGGTGCCACTGCACTCCAGCCTGGGCAACAGAGTGAGATTCTGTCTCAAAAAAAAAAAAAAAAAGAGAGAGAGAGAAGAAGGATTATATTTAATTGAAATTCTCATAATAACCAGGTTGATGGCAAATGGGCTGTTAGTCAAGCTGGAGGGCTCCAGAGAAGGATTTACCTTTGTTAGCAGACAGTTGCTTTGAATTCACGTTTCTTCCTGGAGGGTTTTAGCAACTTCTGAGTGGGAATGGGAATGGGAGAGTTTGAAGGTTTTTCCTTCCAGTTCCCTGGACTCTGGAGACGGTACCTCACAGGGAGACGCTATGGGTCAAAGGGCAGTATTTTCTGTAAAGGGCCAGGTAGTAAATATTTTAGGCTTTGCAGGCCATGTGGTCTCTGTCACAGGTATTCAGCTCTACCATTGTTGCACAAAAAGAGCCAGAGATGACAGGTAAACAAATGAACATGGATGTGTTCCAATAAAACTTTATTGATAAAAACAAGCAGTGGGCCAGATCCGGCCTGGCAGATGGAGAGAATGGTTTGCTCGCCTTTGCTTTAGTCAATGGAATGTCACTAAAGCCTCCCCTCTACTATTTATTATGGATGTGGGTGATTATGATAATGAAAGTTGTAGAATTTAGACGACATTAGAGACGATGATATAATATGTAACCCATGAAATATTTGAGGTTGGGCATTGTGGCTCAGGCCTGTAATCCCAGCACTTTGGGAGGCCGAGGCGGGTGGATCGTTTAAGCCCAGGAGCTTGAGACCAGCCTACGCAACATAGAACCTGTCTCTACAAAAAAATTAAAAAACTAGTCAAGTGAGTTGGCGCACACCTATAGTCTCAGCTACTCAGGAAGCTAAAGCAGGAGGATCGCTTGAGCCCAGGAGGTCGAGACTGCAGTGAGCTGTGAGCATGCCACTGCACTCCAGCCTGGGTGACAGAGCAAGATCCTGTCTCAAAACAAACAAACAGAAACAATCAGGGCTGGGCGCGGTGGCTCACACCTGTAATCCCAGCACTTTGGGAGGCCTAGGTGGGTGGATTACCTGAGGCCAGAAGTTTGGGACCAGCCTGGCCAACATGGTGAAACCCCATCTCTACTAAAAATACAAAAATTACCCAGGCGTGTTAGGGGGCACCTGTAATTCCAGCTACTCGGGAGGCTGAGGCAGGAGAATCGCTTGAACCCGGGAGGCAGAGATTGCAATGAGCAGAGATCGCGCCACTGCCCTCCATCCTGGGCAACAGAGCAAGACTCCGTCTCAAAAACGAAACAAAAAAAACAAAAAACAAAAAAAAAAACAATCAAGACAATTTGCTTCTTAGAGCCAGGCTTGCATTAAGGTCTAGGCTGTAGCCACATCAACAGACACCATGAGAACAGACATTTCCTAAGGTGTAGCCAACAGGTCCCATATCTGCCTTCTCTGTTTTATTCTAACTCCCCGTGGGCTTTGGCTATGTGGGGACAGGAAGGCCCTGGGACTGAAAACCAGATGCTTTTCACTATCAGGTGATCATCCTGCTGGGCAAAACACCTGCAAGATGCAGCGACCAACCCCGGATTCAGAACAACTTCAACAGGTGGCAATTTATGATCTGCTCCCTACTAGGAATACGGAAGATGGTCATTAAAATAGTAGCACACAGTTATTTAGCACTTACGGAAGAAAGCTCAACAGTTTACAGGTGTTACCTCATTGAAGGCTCGCCACTATTCTGTGAAGGAGGTGTTGTTATTTCTCCCTCGTTTAGCGGATAATGAAGCAGATTTGCAGAGGTGAAGTAACTTGCCCACGTCACACACCTACTGAGCCGTGAAGTCTAAAGACAAAGCGTGTGTCTCTGCAATGCTGCAAAAGAGTCAGAATATGTTCTGTGTGGCTGGGCGTGGTGGTCCATGCCTGTAATCCCAGCACTTTGGGAGGCTGAGGTGGGCAGATCACTTGAGGTCGGGAGTTCGAGACCAGCCTGACCAACATGGTGAAACCCCTGCTCTACTAAAGACACAAATATTAGCCAGTGTGGTGATGTGTACCTGTAATCCCAGCTACTTAGGGGACTGAGGCAGGAGAATTGCTTAACCCAAGAGGCAGAGGTTGCAGTGAGCCAAGATTGTGCCACTGCACTCCAGCCTGGGCTACAGAATGAGACCCTATCTTAAGAAAAAAAAAAAGGTGTTCTGTGTGTCTTTCCTGTGCTGAGACTGGAGTAGCTGTATCCTTCTAGAGCAAGACAGCAGGGTCCTAATAGCAAAGTTTACCCAGCCCTTATCATGAGCAGCCACACTTGGAAACAATGTGCATGAATGTTTTAGGGTGAAAGCCTGCACTGTTGTAACAAGTGACTCAGCAATAACACGGCTAAAATAAGGAAATTCATTCTGTTCCATGTCTCGGTCCACGGGGAGGCTCCAAGTCAGTGGCTTCTCTGTTCCAACAGGAACCCAGGCTGCTAGCAGCTCTACTGTTTTCCTTACACACAGCCTGCAAGGGGACTCAGTCACCATCCTGACCAAAAAGAAGTCAGAAAGGAGGGGAAGACAAGGGCAGGGAGCTCCCTCTTAATCACGGGAGGCAGAAATTGTGTGAATCACAGTCCCTTTCATTCCACTGGCAAGAGTTAGCCACAGCTAGACACAAATCGGGGCTGCCCAGTGCAATCAGCCTTGTGCCCAGGAAGGGAGGAGGGCAGGTTTTGCTGGCCATTTCCCACCCCAGAGCATTATTTTATTTAATCCTTATAGCAGCCCTAATTATTTGACAAATGGGTAGACTGACACACAGGGCAGTGAATGGGGATACTTACCATAAGTCACGAAGTCAGTAGAGCCAGGATTTAGCTAAACACTGAAGGCAGAGCCCAGGTACTTACCTACATGCCATGCAACTGCCCCCGCGCTGGAACTTGCCACAAATGCCCATGACAGTGGGTTATCAGTAAAGTCACCTGCTATAACCCAGATTTGTGCTGCTGGAAGTTTTTGGTCAACAGGCTTCCACGGGATCTTGTTCCACTCCAGTAATCTCCAAGTGTCTTGAAGTCACACTCCAAATTTTAACCTCTCTGCCATGGTTGACCTACTGTTAAAGTGTTTAATGATTAATTTTTAAAGACCTTGTTGATTCATTAACAATCTACTATGTACTATGCACTAACTGGCAAGGTTTATTGAGATATAAACAGCTTGTACCCCAACAGAATCTACTGCCATAAATAGGCTTTCCGGTAAGGGTCTATTTTCATCAGAAGACACCTTTTAACCGATTATGTGGCTTTCGGTTTAGACATAATGTTTACAAGAGTTTTCCTAGGTACACAGGCTCATACAAGTTGGCCATAGAGCACAAGTTCTAAAACTGGTCACAGACCTCTTAACACCAAGGACTCCAAGGACCTTTTGTTATGTGGATGATAGCTATAGATATTTATCATATCAGACATTTAAATTAATAAACAATTATAAATATGTACTGCTTTTTTTTTTTTTTTTTTTTTTTTTGAGATGGAGTCTCCTAATGTTGCCCAGGCTGGAGTGCAGTGGCACGATCTTGGCTCACCGCAACCTCCACCTCCTGGGTTCAAGTGATTTTTCAGCCTCCCAAGTAGCTGGGATTACAGGTGCGCACCACCACGCCTGGCTAATTTTTGTATTTTTAGTAGAGATGGGTTTTCACCATGTTGGCCAGGCTGGTCTTAAACTCCTGACCTCAGGTGGTCTGCCCCCCAAAGTGCTGGGATACAGGCGTGAGCCACCATGCCTGGCCCACGTACTGCTTTTTTAAAGAATAATAAATCCACTGCATGTTAAATAATTTTTTATTTTTTAAAAATCCCATATTTTCCCAAAAGATTTATTGGAAACAGTGGCATCGTTTTATGTTTTTACAAATCTTTTTAATGCCCAGTTTAAGAGAAGACAGCTGGAATCTCATATTTGTTTCTATATTCAGTCTGTTACTACATCTCATGCCACTTAGTCTCTGGAAAACTACACTGGACTTTCATGAATAGAGAAAAAAAAACCTTAGTATTAAGAAGTGGGCTGGCACAGTGGCTCATGCCTGTTATCCCAGCACTTTGGGAGGCCAAGGCGGGCAAATCACCTGAGGTCAGGAGTTTGAGACTAGCCTGGCCAACATGGTGAAACCCTGTCTCTACTAAAAATACAAAAATTAGCAGGGCATGATGGCAGGTGCCTACACTCCCAGCTACTTGGGAGGCTGAGGCAGGAGAATCGCTTGAACCCAGGAGGCGGAGGTTGCAGTGAGCCGAGATTGTGCCACTGCACTCCAGCCTGGAAAAAATAACAAACAAGAAAAGAAGAAGGAGAAGGAGAAGGAAAAGGAGAAGAGAAAAGAGGAGGAGGAGGAGGGGAGGAGGGGGAGGGGGAGGGGGAGGAGCAGCCTCGACCTCCTGGGTTCAAGTGATCCTGCCTCCTCAGCCTCCTGCGTAGCTGGGACTACAGGTGCACACCACCACACCCAGTTTTTTTTTTTTTTTTTTTTTCCTAATTTTTGTAGAGACAGGGTTTCACCATGGTGCCTAGGCTGGTTTCAAACTCGTGGGCCCAAGTGATCTGCCCACCTCGGCCTCCCACAATGCTGGGATTACAGGTGTCAGACACCATGCCCAGCCCCATCTCTGGGTTCTTAACCCACACAGTCTCCTGCAGCTACTGTGGATGAAAAGCAAGCCAGGTTTGTGAGAACCGTGACTCTTGGGAGATAGAAACAAAACCAGAGAGAGAGAGAGAGAGGGAGAGAGAGAGAGAAAAACTGTAGTTTTCCCTCTTTGAAGCCACACTAAAGAGCAAGAATAAGCCTTGAAATCCTCAGAGTCAACTAAATGCCAGGTAGGCAGCTCATGGTTAACTTAGGGGATTTTGGGAGAGCTAGGGAGGAAACTGATTGCTCAGAGAGACTGAGACTTGCCCAAGGGCTCACTGTTGCTAAGTCAACAAATGTATCTTGTCTTAACAGGGACTCTTTCTCCCAGGCTTGCATGTTGCCTAGAAAAGCTTATTTCAGTTTTGAGGATTTGCTCTTTTCAATTCTTGCAACAAATAGCAACATTTGAGTTGTTAGGGATGTGGGTAGGCAAAGGTGTGTTATTAAAAGTCTGCAGAAAATCTAGGAAGAAATCACATCTTGAGCCCTCTAGGAGAACATGCGACCCAGGAATACAGATTCCAAACAGAGCCCCGTGCATCATTTGACACACCCCGCATTTTAGCTATTTTGTTGCTTTTGAATTTACCAAACCTTACAAGTCATCAGAGTTTCTATTAAAAACAAAAACAAAAACAAAAAAAACCCAGACTTAGATTTCTCTTGCAAAAGGAATGCTGGCAACATAAGACCCACGTTCTTACGTGGTGACAATGGGCTGGAACTAAAATCTGGGAGACAGACTCGCAATAACTGTATTTGCTCAGTGTATTTGCTCTGTATGAATTCACTGTTTGTATATTTGCTCTTTTTTTTGAGATGGAGTCTCACTCTGTCACCCAGGCTACAGTGCAATGGCATGATCTCGGCTCACTGCAACCTCCATCTCCTGTGTTCAAGCGATTCTCCTGCCTCAGCCTCCCGAGTAGCTGGGACTACAGGTGCACCCCACCACGCCTGGCTAATTTTTGTATTTTTAGTAGAGACAGGGTTTCACCATGTTGGCCAGGATTGTCTCGATCTCTTGACCTCATGATCCGCCCACCTCGGCCTCCCAAAGTGCTAGGATTACAGGGGTAAGCCACTGTGCCCGGCCATCTGCTCTCATTTTTAAAGATATAATTTACATACAATAAAATGCATGAGTCAGCCAGGCGCGGTGGCTCATGCCTGTAATCCCAGCACTTTGGGAGGGTGAGGCAGGAGAATCACTTGAACCCAGGAGACAGAAGTTTAAGTGAGCTGAGATGGCGCCATTGCACTCCATCCTGGGTGATAGAGTGAGACTTGGTCAAAAAAAAAAAAAAAAGCATAAGTGTTCATCCTTCAATTCACGGGGTTTTACCAATTGTATATACCGTATAATTACCACCCAATTCAAGATAATAGAAATTTCCATCACCTCTGAGAGCACACTCCCACCCTCTTCCAGTTGTTCACTGGGTCCTGTTCTTTGACTTCTGTCACCACAAATCCATCTTTCCTGTTCTTGAGCCTCACATAAATTGAATCATAAGGTCTGTACTCTTTTCATGTCAGCTTTTTTTTTTTTTTTTTTTTTTTTTTTTTGAGATGGAGTCTTGCTCTGTCTCACCCAGGCTGGAGTCCAGTGGCGTGATCCTGGCTTACTGCAGCCTCCACCTCCTGGGTTCAAGCAATTCTCCTGTCTCAGCCTCACGAGTAACTGGGACCACAGGCGCACACCACCACAGCAGGATAATTTAATTTTATATTTTTGGAAGAGACAGCGTTTTACAACATAGGCCAGGCTGGTCTCGAACTCCTGACCTCAGGCGATCCACCCACCTCGGCCTCCCAAAGTGCTGGGATCACAGGTGTGACCACCGCACCCAGCCCAGGTCAGCTCCTTTTGCTCAGCATAATGTTTCGTAGAGTCTTCGATTCATCCGTGGTGTTGCGTGGGTTGGGTAGTTCATTCCTTTCGATGAAAGTTTTTCACGGTGTTGGATGCACCGCAGTTTGTTTCTTCACTCACCTGTCGATGGAACTGGTGTTGTTTCCACTTAGAAACAGTTTTGAATAAGGCCACCATGAACACTTGTGTGCACAACTTTTTGGGAACATATGTCTCCATTTCTCTTGATAAATACCTAAGAGTGAAATTGCTGGGTCATGGGGGAGGTGTATGGTAACTTTATTTATTTATTTATTTAATTTTATTTTTTAGATGGAGTTTCGCCTTGTCACCCAGGCTGGAGTGCAATGGCACGGTCTTGGCTCACTGCAACCTCCATCTGCCTCCCAGGTTCAAATGATTCTCCTGCCTCAGCCTCCTGAGTAGCTGGGATTACAGGGGCCCACCACAACACCCAGCTAATTTTTGTATTTTTAGTAGAGACGAGTGCAGGCTGGTCTTGAACTCCTGACCTTGTGATCCACCCACCTTGGCCTCCCAAAGTGCTGCGATTACAGGCATGAGCCACCGCGCTCGGCAAAGTGTATGGTAACTTTATAAGAAATGTCCAAATAGTTCTCTAAAGTGGTTATACAGTTCTTTTTTTTTTTTTTTTTTTTTTTGAATTGAGATCTCATTCTGTTGCCTCGAGTGTAGTGGCACTATCATGGCTCACTGCAGCCTTGAACTCCTGGGCTCAAACGATTCTCCCACCTCAGTCTCCTGAGTAGCTGGGACTACAGGTGCACACTGCTATGTCCATCTAATTCTTCCTATTTTGTGTAGAGATGAGGGTCTCACTGAGTTACCCAGACTGGCCTCTAACTCCTGGCCTCAAGAGATCCTCCTGCCTCAGCTTCCCAAAGCTCTGAGATGATAGCATGAGCCCCTGCACTCCACCTCTCCTATTCTTTATAGCACTGAGGGTAAAAATGAAAAACCTGACAGAGAAACAATCGGAGGTGACAAGCCAAGGGTCGAGCAGGCCACATCTGGCCCTCAAGGATGCGTAATCATGAAACTTTGCAGAACTTCTCTAGAACAATCAGAAGTTCTGACCCCATTGGGCCTGTCTTCCCCCACGTGGAGCTGGGTCGTGGCTGTCCTCTTCAGCTGGGACACATGCTCTCGGGTCAGCCTCAGCTCCACCTGCCCGGCTTCACTCACTACCACGCCTCTTCTGTAGACACCCTGCACATGGCTAAGGCTCCCCAGACATTCCCAAGAAGTCAGGACTGGACCCCAGGTTGGCGAAGCAGTGCACCCTCGGTGGCACCCCACTGCCTTTCCTGGTGCTGTGGCCTCTGCTGCAGATCACAGATTCATGGCCTTCTGTCTGTCCCTCTTCTCCAATCCCAGCTGTTCCTTCTGTAAATCTGTCCCCCAGGGCAGGTCCCTCCCCCAAAGGCCCCATTCATACTGGTGTTGGTCAGTCACCCAGTGTTTGCTCACCCAGGCCACCCTTTATCCAGTCAAGCCACCCTCCACTGCTCCTGCAGGACTCTAGAGCCAGGTGGCCTGGGCTGAAATCTTGCTGTGTCACTTACAACCCGGGTGATCCTGGGCCGATGACTCATCTCCTCTACCTCTGTTACCTCGTCAGTAAGATAGAGATAACAGGACCTAACTTCGAGGGTTGTTGGAAAGACCAAGTGAGTAAAGGCATGTTGTGCCCTTAGAGCCTGGCACGTGTTCATCACTGCTATTATTTCTGGCTACTCGGTGCCAGGACAGGGGCCTCAGCTGAGGGCCCCCCAGAGCCTGGCAGGCCCAGTGAA
This sequence comes from Homo sapiens, assembly GCF_000001405.40. Lineage (NCBI taxonomy): Eukaryota > Metazoa > Chordata > Mammalia > Primates > Hominidae > Homo > Homo sapiens. The sequence goes on from NW_021160019.1 coordinate 95,631, forward strand.
GGAGTGAGATGGGGAGGCCACGACTCCTCCCCAGTCAGCAGCTGTCCTGTGGCCATGGGGGCCTGGTGAGGCCAGATCTTCAGGTTGTTCTAGAAAAGTGAGTATTCTAGAATTATGTTTCAAGCCTCTTGGTTTGCAAATACTAGTAACTATTTTTAAAATGTTTTGGTATTTGGCCTGGCACAGTGTTTGACCCCTGTAATCCCAGCACTTTGGGAGGCCAAGGTGGGAGGATCACTTAAACCCAGGAGTTGGAGACCAGCCTGGGCAACATAGCAAGATTCTCTCTCTACCAAAAAAATGAAAAAATTAGCTGGGTGTGGTGGTGCACGCCTGTAGTCCCAGCTACTCGGGAGGCTGTGGTGGGAGGATCACTTGAGCCCAGGAGGATGAGCCTGCAGCAAGCTGTGATGCCACCACTGCACTCCAGCCTGGGTGACAGAGTGAGATCCTGTCTCAGAAATAAAAAGTAAATAAAGTTTTGGATGCTTTGAGCATCTGGCAGAAATCTTCGCTATGCCCCGCTGATGTCCTGGGCCCGATGTGGGCGCCTGGCCATGGCTCGGTCACTCCTGACGGTTTTTCAGGGCCTCAGACACCTCTTCTTCTTCTTCTTCTTCTTTTTTTGAGACTGATTTTCGCTCTTGTTGCCCAGGCTGGAGTGCAATGGTGTAATCTCGGCTCACCACAACCTCCGCCTCCCGGATTCAAGTGATTCTCCTGCCTCAGCCTCCCGAGTAGCTGGGACCACAGGCATGCACCACCATACCCGGCTAACTTTGTATTTTTAGTAGAGATGGGGTTTCTCCATGTTGGTCAGGCTGGTCTCGAACTCTCGACTTCAGGCAGACACCTGTTCTTTGCCATGCCTCTGTCTGAAGAGTATATGGAAAGGGGTTGCACAAGCAATGGTTGCTGTTCCTGTTGCTGCCACTGCGGTGAGGGCTGTGGCTGGACGTCCCTCCTGGCACTTTGCCTCTGTCCCCTCCATCCGCCGCCAGCATTTTTCCTCCCCTCCCCTTCCTCCAGCTCGTCCCAAGCCTGCCTGTCCCCAGCGTGGAGGCGGGACAGTGGAAGACTGGGTGAGTGAAGCAGGATGGTGCCTTGGGCTCCAGCGTCTCCCCAACCCCTCCATGCCATGGGTCCCCACGCAGGTGAGGACCCTGGTGGAGGACGGTGTGGGCAGAGCGTGGGACATGTCACCTTCCCCACCTGCTCAGAGTTCAAGGGTCCTGGGCTGGGCCCCGTTCTCTCTTCTGCCCTGGGGAGATCATTCACGCTTCCTTTAATCCCCGCTGCAGCTGAGGCTGGAGTTTGGAGTTTGACCCGCTTGGAGGCTCTCTCAGCAGCGGGCATATAGGAGGAAGGGTCACTGCTGTCTCCGGAAGCTCTTGGCTGCAAAGAGAGAGGATCCCGGGTATCTCCCTCCTTACAACCACCGCCACCTCCTAGTGCCTTAGAAGCCACTGACAGCCCCCAGGGCAGGTGAGCCCTGCATCTGGAATAAGGTAAGACACCCCCTGCCCCCAAACAGGTAGCCACTCTCCAAACTGGGAAGTTGGTCTGGGGACAGGTGCTGGCAGAAGGACTCCAGCTGTCACCTGTGGGGCAGGGGAAGCTCAGCCCTCTCTGCAGAGAAAGCTTGTCATACACCAGGACAATGGAGTGTGTTTGTGGGGTGGGCATGGTGGTATGAAGCCAGCAGCCGGCAGCCAGCAGCACCGTACGTGGGTCCCAGCTCTTCCACTTAACCAAGGTCAGGGACATTGAGCCAAACATTTTGCCTCACCGAGTCTCAGGTTCCTTATCTGTCAAATGGGAATATGAACCTCAGGCTGACCCACCCCACAGGTGTGTTACCCAGAGATAACGAAGGTAAATGTATCCACATAAGCATTAAAAAGCTATAGGAATGTATTTACTACAACTGCAGCTGCTGTTAACTACAAGGCAAATACAAGTCTTCACTGGTACGTGTCAGACACGTGCAGAGAACTTTACGCCTGGATCTCATCTAACTGACACAGAAACCCTGTAAGGTAGGTACAGCACCCCCTAATTCATGGACAGAGTCTAAGGGTCATTAAATAACTTGCTCAAGGTAATACAGATAGTGAGTGGCCAAGCCAAGACTCAATTCCTGTGGCCATGAGCTCAGCCACAATATCAGTGATTTTCTTTTTCTTTCCTTTCTTTCTTTTTCTCTTTCTTTCTTTTTCTTTCTTTTCCTTTCTTTTCTTTGTTCTTTCTTTCTTTCCTTCTTTCTTTTATTTCTTTCCTTATTCCTTTCTTTCCCTTTCTTTCTCCTTCCTTCTTTCCTTCCTTCCCTCCCTCCCACCTCTCTGTTTCTCTTTCTTTTCCCTTTTTTCTTTCTTTCTTTCTTTCTTCTCTCTCTTTTATTATTTATTTCTTCCTTTCTTTCCCTTTCTCCTTCCTTCTTTCCTTCTTTGCCTCCTCTCTCTCTCTGTGTGTGTTTTCTGTTCTCTCTCTCTCTCGTTTCTTTTCTGTCTTTTCTTTCACAGGGTCTCTCTGTGTTGCCCAGGCTGAAATGTAGTACTATCATAGCTCACCAGCATGCCCTGCTAACTTTTTTATTTTTATTTTTTGTACAAATGGGGTCTCCCTGTGTTGCCTTGGCTGGTCTCAATCTCCTGAACTCAAGCGATTCTCCCGCCTCAGCCTTGCAAAGTGCTGGGATTACAGGCATGAGCCACTGCACCCTACCAATCAGTGGTTTTCAAATGGTGTTCTGCTGAATTATTCTGGGCAATAGTTGACAGAAGTGTCCTAGCCCATTGGGCATCCTGCAGATAGGACTTGGAAAAATGCTGTCCCTTTTTTGGGCGGTCACAGCGTGCAAAGGATCTATAGCAAAGGCTCTAAAAATCCCACATTTATTTGTTGTACCAACATTTATTGCATGCCTGTTTTGGGGACACAATGAGAGTGACAGAGACATGGACCTTTCTTTATGGGGCTTGCTGTGCAGTGCAGACAAGGGGTAATCACACACATCAAGTGTTACACTTGATTAGACTGTGATGAGAAGTTGTGTTTGCCATGAAAGCAAAAAGCTTGGGGACCCAATTTATATTGAGGCCAAGAGGGGGCTCCTTTGGGGATATACAGCAGGCTGACATCTAAAGGATGAGTAGGAGCTTGTCCAGCAAAGAGTGCAGGGAAGAGCATCCCAGGCAGAGGGAACAGAATGGCAAAGACCCTGAGGCCAGAAATCGTGTTCCAGGAATAAAATGAATGCTAGTATGTGGTGGGGTTGGAAGCACAACAAAGCACCCCAGCAGCATGGAGATGTTTTGAGCAGGAAAATGATCTGATCTGACTCATACTTAAAGATTTCTCTGGCTTCCGTGTGAGGGGCGGATTAAAAGGAAGCAAGGCTGGGTGAGGTGGCTCATGCCTGCAACCTCAGTGCTTTGGGAGGCCAAGTTGGGAGGATTGCTTGAGGCCTGGAGTTTGAGACCCGTCTGGGCAACATAGCAAGACCCCGTCTCTACAAAAAAATTACAAAATAAGAAGTTAGCTGGAGGCCAGGCATGGTGGCTCACACCTGTAATCCCAGCACTGTGCAGGGATCATTTGAGCCCATGGGGTTGAGGCTGCAGGAGCTGTGTTTGTGTCACTGCACTTTAGCCCAGGCAACAGAGTGAAACCCTGTCTCAAAAAATAAAAAATTAGCTAGGCATGTTGGCATGTACCTGTGGTCCCACCTACTTGGGAGACGGAGGTGGGAGGATCCCTTGAGCACAGATGTTCGAGAGTTTGAGGCCACAGTGAGCTCTGATGGCACCATTGCACTGCGGCTTGGTCAAGGGAACAAGACCCTGTCTCTAAAAATTAAGTAAATTAAAACAAAAATAAAATAATAAAATAAAAAGGAAGGAAGAATGGATATCGGGGAGGTAAGACTGGAGGGTCTTTCTCTAACCTAGACAGAAGTGATGGTGGCTCAGACAAGGGTGATAGCACTAAAAATGAGGGAAAATGTGTGGATTTATTATGTTTTGGAAGTAAGAGAGAATGGAATTGGGAGTGAATAGATTCTGGGAGGTGAGAAAGAGATGCTATAAATTCTTCGATGAGACATTTACATACCAGGCACTCTTGGTGCTTAGATGTAGTGCCTGGCACATAGAGGTGCTCACAGACCACTTGATAAGTGAACAAATGGACTAATGCCTTATAGATGACTCAGGTTTCTGGCAGGAGTGGCAGAGTGGCTGCAGCTGTCATTTAGTGAGGTGGGGAAGACTGGAAGAAGCACGTGCTTGGGCTGGAAAGCTTGGTCTGTAACTCGCACGTGTGAACTTTCAGACATCTATTAAGTAACAATGAGAAGCCGGGCACGGTGGCTCACGCCTGTAATCCCAGCACTTTGGGAGGCCGAGGCGGGTGGATCACCCGAGGTCAGGAGTTCAAGACAAGCTGGGCAACATGGTGAAACCCCATCTCTACTAAAAACACAAAAATTAGCCAGGCGTGGTGACACATGCCTGTAATCCCAGCTACTCGGGAGGCTGAGGCGGGAGAATCGCTTGAACCCGGGAGGCAGAGGTTGCAGTGAGCAGAGATTGCACCACTGCACTCCAGCCTGGGTAACAGAGCGAGACTCTGCCTTGGGGGCAAAAAAAAAAAAAAAAAAAAAATATATATATATATATATATATATATATATCCATGAGAGATGCCACGTTGGCATTTGGATGGACAGGTCTGGGCTCAGAAGGTGCTCTGTGATGTCTATTCTCTCTGGAATAATGAGACAAGATCATCCCTGAAAGGCAGGTGAAGGACAACGCTCTGCCGGGTCCCCTGCACTCACTGGGCATATGCCCTGTTACCCTGCTGTGGACCATTCAGGGAACGCTGCCCTGCCCTGCCATGCCTAGAATTTATTTCCAGATACCTGAAGCCGTGGCTCTTGCTAACGGACTAGGGGTGATCCTGGCCTCTGCTTCAGCCTCAAATCCTGAGATGTCTTTTTAAAATTTTTTATTTTATTATCATTATTATTATCTATTATTTGAGACAGGGTCTGGAGTGCAGTGGTGCAATCACAGCTCACTACATCCTCAACCTCTTGGGCTTAAACAATCCTTCTGCCTCAGCCTCCCAAATAGCCAGGCCCACAGACACACAGCACCATGCCCAGCTAATTTTTAAAAATTTGTTGTAGAGGAGAAAAAAAAAAGGGTCTCACTACATTGCCCAAGCTGGGCTCAAACTCCCGGCCTCAAGCGATCTTCATGCCTTGACCCCCCAGAATGCTGGGATTATAGGCATGAGCCATTGAGCCCAGCCAGGATCTGTCTTTTTGGCCTTTTTGTAGAGATCTCTCTGTTTCTATGAACCCCATGGCATCAACGGGTGGAGGAGGCCAGGGGTGGTCATTTAGCTCCTTATTCCTGCAGTTCTAGTCCCAGACAGCCCTTCTCTGCCTTCCAGGACTGACTCTTTTCCTCTTGTAGGGCTGCCTCCACTAGGCTCCCTAGACCCAGGCCAGGCCAGGGCACAGCTTGCTGCAGTGCAGCAGGCAGTCAGCGCCACTGCAGCCCAGGAGTGGTAGGAAAGGGTGCGAGTGGCTTCCAGCCTGGGTGATGAGACCCGTGCCAGTCCTTATCACATCTGGAATTTTCCCCACCAAGGTCCACGTGTCTCGGGGTAGTTAGGAGCTCTAGAGTTAAACCTGGGTTGGAGCCCTGCTTCAGTCATTTACTAGCAGTGTGGCCTTAGACCCGGCCTCAGCTTTGTTTTCCTCACCTGTACAATGGAGTTAATCAGAGTCCTTGTAGGGAGGCTGTGACTTCAAAACATGATTCATGCACATATGTGGCCAAGGTTTGCCTAACCACAAAGTTTATTCGTTTTTTTTTTTTCTTTAAGACAGAGTCTTGCTCTGTCACCCAGGCTAGAGTGCAGTGGTGAAATTTCAGCTCACTGCAACCTCCACCTCCCAGGTTCAAGCGATTCTTCTGCCTCAGCCTCCCAAGTAGCTGGGATTACAGGAGCCCACCACCACGCCCTGCTAATTTTTGTATTTTTAGTGGAGACAGGGTTTCATCACGTTGGCCAGGCTGGTCTCGAACTCTGGACCTCAAGCAATCCACCTGCCTCAGCCTCCCAAAGTGCTGGGATTACAGGCATAAGCCACTGCACCCGGCCTAGTTTATGCTCCTTTTATTTTTATTTTTATTGTTTTTAGAGATAGGGTCTCACTCTGTCACCAGGCTGGAATGCAGTGGTGCAATCATAGCTCAATGCAGTCTCAAACTCCTGGGCTTGGGCCCAGGGCAGTGGCTCACGCCTGTAATCCCAGCACTTTGGGAGGCCAAGGCAGGCGGATCACCTGAGGTCAGGAGTTCAAGACCAGCCTGGCCAACATGGTGAAACCCCATGTCTACTAAAAATACAAAAAAAGAAAAAAAAAATTAGCCGGACGTGGTTGCAAACGCCTGTAATCCCAGCTACCTGGGAGGCTGAGGCAGGCGAATCGCTTGGGGGCAGGAGAATCGCTTGAAGCCAGGAGGCAGAGGTTGCAGTGAGCCAAGATTGCACCACTGCACTACAGTCTGGGGGACAGAGTGAGACTTCATCTCAAAAAAAACAAAACAAAACAAAACTCCTGGGCTCAAGCAATCCTCCTGCCTCAGCCTCCCAAGTCATGCTTTCTTTAAAAAAAATGGTTTTATAAAATGGACGGGGAACAGAACAAGTACTCTGTATTTAATCACATTACACATACAATGAACATGCCTACTGCTTTTTACAAACCTGTGACGTATGTCTAATTATTAACCTCATTTCGTAGATGGGAAATTGAGCCTCAGAGAGGTGACTTGCCCACGATGAAGGAGCTCACAGGAGGCAGAGCTGGGATCTGAGTCAGGGCGGTGCAGTTCTAAAGTATTTACACTTTACGCTTTATCACGACATATCTATTTCCTGGAGAGTCTGTTGCTCATAATTAAAATTTGTAATTAGTCATTGTCATTTTCATTCAGAGCAGGGAACTTCCCTTGCTTCTCTCTCTCTCTCTCTCTCTCTCTCCCACTCTATCTGTTTCTCCCCCGATTCCTGCCACCCCCTCTAATGTGTTTGATACTCATCTGGAAATACGCCTGCACTCTGGCAAAATAGTACTATTTTGTGTCTTTGAGTGCTTTGGCTTCATGCTATAAATTGTGCTCTGTTTATTTCCCTCCTTTTTCTTTCATTATGAAACGTTTCAGACACACAGAAGTTATAAAGAATCACGCACATCCAGAAGCCAGCCTAAGGCATGAAATGCGGCAAATACAATCACAGCTCACCTTCCCACACCTGTGACCTGGGAACCTCTTTTCTGATCTTTTCCTTGCACTGGGGTGTGGAAATTTTTCACATCTCCTGGGGCGTGGAAAATTTTCACATCTACCATAGCAAATTATGTCAGTGGCCAAAAGGAAGGGATGAGAGAAGTCCCTGCTCCACTGAGCTTCCTTTTGTGCATTGGCCAATAGGCGACCTCAAGGGTAGGCTGTTCTCCTTGCCAACAAAGCCTTTGTTATAACACAAGCTGCCGTGAATCCTCCCCGCGGGCACAGGGAGGGTTCTTCACAAGAGGTGAAGAAGGAGCCACCCCCAACCACCCCAACCAGACCCTCCTGAGGCAGCCTGGGAGCCAAACATCACCATGCAAGGGACAAAGGGTGCCCGGGGTCACTTCACCGAGTGGGCCCAGGTACACACAGGGTGCAGGGGACTGAGATGAAAACCCAGAGGACGGGGCCAAGTCTACGCTTCTCATTGTTTTGTCCTTCATGCCAAACACAGAGCTTGGCACACAGTTGTTGCTTAATAAATGTTTATTTCACTGAGTCCCCAGGGCCTAGCACAGAGCATGGCACATAGCTGATGCCTAATAAATGTTTGTTCTACTGAGTCCCCAGGGCCTAGCACAGAGCATGGCACACAGCTGATGCCTAATAAATGTTTGTTCTACTGAGTTCCCAGGGCCTAGCACAGAGCATGGCACACAGCTGGTGCCTAATAAATGTTTGTTCTATTGAGTCCCCAGGGTCTAGCACAGAGCATGGTGCACAGCCGGTGCCTAATAAATGTTTGTTGTACTTAGTCCCCAGGGTCTAGCACAGAGCATGGCACACAACTAATGCCTAATGTTTGTTCTACTGAGTCCCCAGGGTCTAGCACAGAACCTGGTACACAGTTGGTGCCTAATAATGTTTGTTGCACTCAGTCCCCAGGGCCTAGCACAGAGCTTGGCACCCAGATGGTGCCTAATAAATGTTTGTTTCACTGAGTCCCCAGGGCCTAGTACAGAGCCTGGTACATAGTTGGTGCCTAATAAATGTTTATTTCACTGAGTCCCCAGGGCCTAGTACAGAGCCTGGTACATAGTTGATGCCTAATAACATTTGTTTTACTGAGTCACAAGACCTAACACAGAGCTTGGCACACCGCTGGTGACTAATAAATGTTCCACTGAGTTGCAGGGCCTGGCGTGGAGCCTGGCACACAGCTGGTGACTAATAAATGTTCCACTAAGTCCTCAGGGCCTGGCATGGAGCCTGGCACACAGCTGGTGCCTAATAAATGCTTGCAGGAAAGAAATAGAGCCAGAGGGAGGGAAAGAGAGAATGAAGGAGAGAAGGGCGGGAGGAAAGAAAGACCAGCCAGGAATGGCCACCTCCAAACCTGGGTTGGGATCCCACCCGCGGCACTGACTGCGGCCTAGAAGCAAGCAGCACAGCTATGCCTGAGTTAGGCTCACTTTCCCCTCTTGTGCCTCTGATTCCCACCTGTGAAATGGAGGTGAAATCACGTTTGCCTCAAAGGGCTGTGCTCCATGCCTGGCACTCAAATAGAAATCGTGCTCACCAAGTGTTAGGGCCGATTCTCAGTATACCTACTGCATGAATTTGCAGAGGGTGGAGCGCATGGAGGGTTCCTCCTGGGATCCTGTGGCCGAGGCTCCACAGCATCTTTGGTCGCTGTTCCTGTCTCCACCGTGAAGATGGAGCCACGTCCCTCGCGGCCCCTGGCTGGGCCCCACCTCCCGGAGACTCAGGAAGGGCTTGGAATCGGTGCCAGTTTCGCCGGCTGTGGGCCCCACGGCGATGATGAATAACTTGTTTATCTGCTGGAGCTTCTCCCACTGCTCTCTCGGTGCCTGGCAGGCAGAGGTCTGGAAGGGGCGGGCAGGGACAGGGAGGACTGGCTCACCAGGCAGCCGCCGCCCCTCCTCCCTCCTCCCTCTGCCCCACTCCCCAATTCAGCATCAACCTCCACCTAAACATGCTTCCTGCACTTTTCTACTCCTCATCTTTCCCCAAATCCTGTTTTAGAAGCAGCAGGTTGAAGTGTTTGAAAACACAGACTCTGAAATCAGACTGGATTCGAGTCCCAGCTTTGTCACTTGTCAGCCATGTGACTTTGGACACGACTTAAACTCTCAGAGCCATCACTCCCCCTGTAAAGTAAAGTTTTTTTTTTTTTTCCGGAGACAGAGTCTCACTCTGTCCCCCAGGCTGGAGTGCAGTGGCATAATCACAGCTCACTGCAACCTCCGCCTCCCGGGTTCAAGCGATCTTTCTGCCTTAGCCTCCAAAGTAGCTGGGATTACAGTTGCATACCACCACACCCACCTAAAAAAATTGCATTTTTAGTAGAGATGGGATTTCACCATGTTACCCAGGCTTGTCTCAAACTCCTGACCTCAGGTGATCCTCCTGCCTTGGCCTCCCAAAGTGCTGGAATTACAGGCATGAGCCACTGTGCCCAGCCTCCTCCCCTGTAAAGTCTGATGAGAACATTACTTACCTAATGGGGCTTCACCCTTGAGACAACCCACAAGGGTCCCCTCACCCCCTCCCCTCCTGAAGCTGCCAGAATGCTTTTCCTGCTTGGAACCTCCCTTAAGAGCCTCCACCCTTACCCTGAAAGGGAGTCTCCACCTCTAGGCCTTCTCTCACTTTCTTGCACAGAGAAAGGTTAGGTTAGGTTAGCCTTGTGTGTGTGTGTGTGTGTTTGTTTGTTTGTGGCAAGGTCTTGCTCTGCCTCCCAGGCTGCAGTGCAGTGGGGCAATCATAACTCACTGTAGCCAAGCTCCTGGGCTCAAGTGATCCTCCTGCCTCAGCCTCCCAAGGTGGTAGGATTATAGGCTGGAGCCACCACACCTGGCCTCCAAATTATTTCTCTAATCTACTCCCTCTGCTATGATCTGATTGTGCATGTCCCTCTGTCCCCAGATTCCTACATTGAAACCTAAATCCCTAATGCAATAGTATTAAGAGGCAGGGCATTTGAGAGGGTTAGGGTTATGAGGACTCTGCCCCCATGGATGGGATTAGCACGTTTATAAAAGAGGCTTGAGGCCAGGTGCGGTGGCTCATGCTTATAATCCCAGCACTTTGAGAGGCGGAGTTGGAGGAATTGCTTGAGCCCAGGAATTTGAGACCACCCTGAGCAACATAGACTTCATCTCTACAAAAAAAAAAAAAAAAAAATTAGCCAGGCATGGTGGTGCATCTATAGTGCCAGCTAATTGGGAGGCTGAGGCAGGAGGATCTCTTGAGCCTAGGAGGTTGAAGTTGCAGTGAGCTGTGATTGTGCCACTGTACTCCAGCCTGAGTAACAGAGCAAAACTCTTGTCTCTTTAAAAAAAGAGAAAAAGTGATTGTGCCACTGCACTCCAGTCTGGACACCAAAGTGAAACCTTGTCTCAAAATAAATAAATAAATAAATAAATAAAAATAAAACAAAAAGGCTTGAGAGAGCCAACTTGACCCATCCATCTACCATATGAGGACATAGCAAGCAAGTGCCACCTATGAGGAACGGGCCCTCACCAGACACTGAATCTGCTGACAGCTCGATCTTGGACTTTCTCCAGAACTGTGAGCAATAAATTTATGTTGTTTACAAATTACACAGTCTAAGGTATTTGATTGTAACAGTAGGAATGGACTAACCCCTGCTTATGTATGGTCTCAAGCCGGAGTCACTACCTCCAGAATAACCTCCCTGCCCGCGTTCTTGCTTCTCATCAAGGCTGCCCCCTGTCTGATCATACCACTTTCTTATTAGAAATTCCTCACTGACATCCTTTAACCCAGAGCACATGTGTGCACTGGAGGTGTTCCTGGCCTTCAGAGATGTTTCAAAATGTATGAGAGCATTTTTGGTTGTCACAATAATTTGGGAGTGCTACTGGCATTCAGCAGGGGGAGGCCTGAAATTCTAGACTTCCTGAAATGTGTATTGCCCACGCAATAAAGATTTTCAGAGGACCCACCAGACATTCATGTGGGCGAAAATCCCATTTATCACTATCTGAGTCCACAACCTACCTTCAGATTGCATAAAATGAAAAGTGTTGGAGTTTTTTCTTACTTTAAAAATGTACCTTGGCTGGGCTGGTAATCCCAGCACTTTGGGAGGCCAAGGTGGGAGGATTTCTTGAGGCTGGAGTTCAAGGCCAGCCTGGGGAACATAGGGAAACCTTGTCTCTTAAAAAATAAAATAGGCCGGGCGCAGTGGCTCACGTCTGTAATCCCAGCACTTTGGGAGGCCGAGGTGGGTGGATCACGAGGTCAGGAGATCGAGACCATCCTGGCTAACACGGTGAAATCCCATCTCTACTAAAAATACAAAAAAAAAAAAAAAAAAAAAAAATTAGCTGAGCGTGGTGGTGGGCGCCTGTAGTCCCAGCTACTCAGGAGGCTGAGGCAGGAGAATGGTGTGAACCGGGGAGGCAGAGCTTGTAGTGAGCCGAGATCAGGCCACTGCACTCCAGCCTGGGAGACAGAGTGAGACTCCATCTCAAAAAATAAATAAATAAATAAAAATAATAAAATAAAATAAAATAAACTTAGCTAAGTGTAAATGGTGGAGTCAAGGTCTTGCTCTTTTTGCCCAGGCTGGAGTGCAGTGGTACAATCTCAGCTCACTGCAACCTCCACCTCCCAGATTCAAGCAATTCTCATGCCTCAGCCTCCTGAGTAGCTGGGACTACAGGCATGCGCCACCACACCCAGCTAATTTTTGTATTTTTAGTAGAGACGGGGTCCACCACGTTGCCCAGGTTGGACTTGAACCCCTGGCCTCATGGGATCCACTCACCTCGGCCTCCCGAAGTGCTGGTATTATAGGCATGAGCCACTGAGCCCGGCCAAGGTGTACAGCTTCGGAGCCTGAATTCTTAACATCTCTCCCCATGAACCTGCCCTCTGTGAAACATCACGTTGTGCTGTTGTTGTCCATGGGTGGCTTTGTCCCATCACTGGGCTGTGCATTGCAAGATGGCAAGGATCAAGTATTTTCATTCCGGAATGCCCAAAGGCCAACAGAGTGGAGTTGCATCTTAACACAGAAATAAGTCAATGCCCTGATCACTTGTGGTCAAAAATCACCCTTGGAAATTTTATTAGTTTCTGACTGCTGCTTTAACAAATTACCATGAACTTAGTGGCTAAAACAACATAAATTTATGACCTTACAGTTACAGAGGTTAGAAGTTCTAAATGGGTCTTACTGGGCTAAAATCAAGGTGTCAGCAGGACTGAATTCCTTCTGGATGTGCTAAGGAAGAATCTATTAATTTGCCTTTTCCAGTTCCTAGAAGCCACCTGCACTCCTTGGCTTGTAGCTCCATTACCCCATCTTCAAATCTAACAACGTTGAGTGAAATCCTTCTCATGCTGTCATCTCTGTGGCTATCTCTTCTGATTCTGTTTTTACTGTGATTACATGGGGCCCACCCAGTTAATCCAGGCATCTCCCTATTTTCAGGTTAGCTGCAGCTAGGCATCTCCCAATTTTAAGTGATTTGACTACCAACCTTAATTTTATCTGCAAACTTAATTGTCCTTTGATATGTAACAACATATTCACAGGTTCTGGGGATTAGAGGTAAGCATCTTTGGGGGCCATTTCTCTGTCTACCACAAGATTTCCTTAAATTGCCCATGGATTTGCAGGGTACTGAGAAAACTGCTTAGATTAGTGGCTCAAAGCATGGATTCTGGAGCAAGATTATTGAGTTCAAATCTCAGCTTTATGACCTTGGGCACTTACTTAACTTTTCTGTGTCTCTGTGTCTCAACTTCACCATCTGTAAAATGGGGATGATAACAATAGTGCCCACTTTGCAGGTTAGTAAACACTTAGAATGATGCCCAGGATATAGTAGATGCAATATGAGTGTTTATTAAATATATTAAATTTCATGGTATATGTAGCATTGGAACAAGATTATGGTGTCTGGCTGAGCCTTGGACAAAATTGTTGACTTGACTCTCACCCAGCTGTGAGGTACCACGGAAGTGGAGACTGACTCAGGTGTCTCATTTTTCTTTCACTCTGGGACACGTGCTTGCTGAAATCATCTGTACTATTGCAATTGTTTATGCTTCTTTCTATTTTGCCAAGTGAGTGACAAAATTGACTGCAGATTTGATGTGACTTCATTATGAATATGTGTTGAATGAATGAATGAGTGAGTGGATGGTGGATGGATCGATGGATGGATCTGTCTTCCCTGAAGATCTGTCTTCCACCACACATCCCTCCACATGGGTCCTCTTTCATGGATGGCCTAGGGAGGTAGCTACAGAAAGGGTGAGAAGAATGATGCTAGGATCTGGCATTTGACTGGCATTTGCCCTTCCTCAGGATCCAGAGGTCTCGTTCAGGACCATGGAGAGCGGCACCAGCAGCCCTCAGCCTCCACAGTTAGATCCCCTGGATGCGTTTCCCCAGAAGGGCTTGGAGCCTGGGGACATCGCGGTGCTAGTTCTGTACTTCCTCTTTGTCCTGGCTGTTGGACTATGGGTAAGCCAGGCCACTGGGGGATGGGGGATGAAGAGAGAAGGAAATGTCTGTTTAGAGGTCCGGAGTTAACCTCATCCTTTTGGAGCTAAGATACTGACTGTGAGAGGAAGAAACTAACACAAGGTTATAGAGTAATCAGAACTTAAAAATTTTAAACATGCATTGGGTGTGGACTATTGTCAGACACTGTTTTAAGCATTTTCACTTACATTTCTCATGTAATTTTCACAGGCCCCTGTGAGAAAGATGCTGTTACAATACCCATTTTACAGATAAGGAAACACAGGCCCAAATAATTTAAGATCCTCATCCTGTAAGTTAGGAGAGTTAGGGTTAGAATCCCTGTCTCCCTTACTTCGAAGCTCATGTTTTGTTTTTGTTTTTGTTTTGTTTGTTTTGCTTTTTGAGGTGGGATCTCCCTCTGTTGCTCAGGGTACTAGAACGCAGTGGTGGCAATCATAGCTCACTCCGGCCTCGACTTCTTGGGCTCAAGTGATCCTCTCACCTCGGCTGCCAGGTAGTTAATTTTTAAATTTTTTTTTGTAGAAATGGGATCTCAGTATGTTGCCCAGGCTGGTCTCAAATTCCTGGGCTCAAGCAATTCTCCCATCTTAGCCTCCCAAAGTGCTGGGATTACAAACAGCCCAACTGTGTTTTTTTTTACTTTAAAGAAAACTTTAAAGGCAATACAGTCACATGGCTCACAAATAAAAATCACTTATGACAAGCGATGAAAAATCTCAATATTAGCCTTCTCTCCACAGGTAACCAATATTATTAGCTTGTTAGTACATAAGCGTGTGGTTCAAGTGTCTTTATGCAAATCCAAGCAAATTTTAATTGCATATTTCCCTCTTTCTTAAACAGAAGGTAGCTTATACTGTTTTTTAGCTTTCTATTTTTCACTTCTCAGTATCTTTTAGATATCTTTTCACATTAGCACGTAGACATTCCTTATCTTCTTAAAAGTTGCATAATATTTCCTTAGATGATTGTGTTGTAATTTATTTAACTAGTCTCGGGCTGAAGGTCATTTGGATTGTTTCCAATCTCTTACTATAATAAACTATACTATAATAAACAAACCCTGGCCCAGCGCAGTGGCTCACGCTTGTAATCCCAGCACTTTGGGAGGCCAAGGCAGGCAGATCACTTGAGGCCAGGAGTTTGAGACCAGCCTGGCCAACATGGTGAAATCCCATCTTTACTAAAAATACAAAAATTAGGCCAGGCGCGGTGGCTCACGCCTGTAATCCCAGCACTTTGGGAGGCAGAGGTGGGCAGATCACTTGAGGCCAGGAGTTTGAGACGAGCCTGGCCAATGTGGTGAAACCCCATCACTATTAAAAATACAAAAAATTAGCCAGGTGTGGTGGCGGGTGCCTATAGTCCCAGCTACTTGGGAGGCTGAGGCAGGAGAATGGCATGAATCCGGGAGGCAGAGCTTGCAGTGAGCCGAGATCGTGCCACTGCACTCCAGCCTGGGCGACAGAGTGAGATTCCATCTCAAAAAATATATATAAAAAAATTAGCCAGACGTGGTGGTGGGTGCCTGTAATCCCAGCTACTCAGGAGGCTAAGCCAGGAGAATCACTTGAACCTGGGAAGCAGAGGTTGTGGTGAGCTGAGATTGTGCCATTGCGCTCCAGCTTGAGCAACAAGAGTGAAAATCCGTCTCAAAAATAAATAAATAAATAAACTCTGTACACTGTTTGGGAGTGTAGCTATAAGATAAATTCCCTGCAGCAGAAATGCGTATATTAAAGAATATATGCATTTGTGATTATACTAGTTTGTGTCAAATTGCACTCCTTAGGTGTACACATCAGAAATGATGAGAAAGTCTGTTTTGTCACATTCTCACCAACAGTGTATTGTCAAACTCATTTTTGTCAGACTAGGAAAAATAATATCTCAAAGTTTTTTTTGTTTTTTGTTTTTTGTTTTGAGACGGAGTCTTGCTGTCGCTCAGCCTGGAGTGCACTGGTGCAATCTCAGCTCACTGCAAGCTCCACCTCCCAGGTTCATGCCATTCTCCTGCCTCAGCCTCCCTAGTAGCTAGGACTACAGGCATCCGTCACCATGCCCGGATAATTTTTTTTGTATTTTTAGTAGAGATGGGGTTTCACCGTGTTAGCCAGGATGGTCTCAATCTCCTGACCTCGTGATCCGCCTGCCTCGGCCTCCCAAAGTGCTGGGATTACAGGTGTGAGCCACCGCACCCAGCCAGTATTGTTAATATGCATTTATCTTACAATGAATGAGGTTGGGCCCCATTACGTATGTTTAAACACCACATATTTTCTTTATGTGAACTATGGCTTCATATCTTTTGCCTTATTTCTATTAGGTTCTTCTTCTTTTTCTTATCAATTTCCAGGAGCTCTTTTTGTATTAAGGATATTAACAACTTTGAGATAAAAGGTCAGGCACAGTGGCTCACACCTGTAATCCCAGCACTTTGGGAGGCCGAAGTGAACAGATCGCTTGAGCTCAGTTCGAGACCAGCCTGGCAACATAGTAAGATACCATCTCTACAAAAAACAGAAAAATTAGTTGAGCATGGTGGCATATGCCTGTAGTCCCAGATACTTGGAAGGCCGAGCCAGGAGGACTGCTTGTGCCTAGCAGTTCAAGGTTACAGTGAGCCATGATCATGTCACTGCACTCCAGCCTGAGTGACAGAGTGAGAACCAGTCTCAAAAAAGAAAGAAAGAGAGAGAAAGGAAAGAAAGGAAGGAAGGGAAGGGAAGGGAAAAAGAAAGAAAAATAAAAGAAAAGAAAGAAAGAGAGAGAAAGAAAGAGAAAGAGAAAGGAAGGAAGGAAGGGAGGGAGGAAGGAAGGGAGGGAAAGGGAAGGGAAGGGACAAGAAGAAGAAAGAAAAAGAAAGAAAGGAAGGAAGGGAGGGAGGAAGGAAGGGAGGGAAAAGGAAGGGAAGGGGCAGGCAGAAGAAAGAAAAAGAAAGAAAGAAAAAGAAGGAAAGAAAGAAAGAGAAAGAAAAAGGAAGGAAGGAAGGAAAGAAAGAAAAGAAAAAAGAAAGAAAAAATTAATCACCAATGTGATAGTATTAACAGATGGGGCGTTTCGAGGGTGATTAAGTCATAAGAACTGAGCCCTCATGAATGGGATTACAGACTTTATTAAAGAAGCTCAAGGGAACTAGTTTTACCCCTTTTTGCCCTTCTGTTCCTCTGGCATGTGAAGACACAGAGGAGGTACTATCTACGAGGAACAGGCTCTCACCAGACACCAAACCTCTCGGTGCCTTGATATTGAACTTCCAAGTCTCCAGAATTGTAAGAAACAAATTTCTGTTGTTTAAAAATCACCCAGTTTCGGGTATTTTGTTATAGTAGTGCAAAGCAGACTGAGACATGAGCCTCGGTTTCTTCCTTTATCAGATTGGCCTAACGACACAAACCTCATAGGGGTTGGTAAGGATTAAATGAGGTAATGCATATAAAGTGCTTGGCACAGCATCTGGCACATAGTAAACACTCAATAAATGGTATCAGTTATAAAACATCATAAACAAGCCATGAGCCTAAGACTCAAATGTCTAGGGAGACCAAGTAGGTTATCATAAAATAAATGTTTGTAGCAACAAGTGGTAGGAGCTTTGTTGACCTGAAGAGTTTATGTTTCCTCTAAAGACACAAAATTAAAATTTTATCCAAAACTCTGGGAGAAACAAAATATATTTGATATCCGAATCTGGCCCTCAGGACTCCCAGTTTGCAATCCCTGCCTGGCCTAGGCCATTTTGAGATGCCTCTGATTGCTAACGTCTTCCCTCACCCACCTCTCTTCTTTTTTTTTCAGTCCACAGTGAAGACCAAAAGAGACACAGTGAAAGGCTACTTCCTGGCTGGAGGGGACATGGTGTGGTGGCCAGTAAGTGGTCTTTGGTTCAATTAAAGTCACTTCTTAAAGAATCTTCAAGTGCTGGGATTCTGTCCAGCCTTTGATATCTCAGGACTCTCTGGTCTCATGTCGTTTGGAAGTCATTGTCTAAACTAGAGAAGGCTTAGCTCCAGCTCAAATTCGTTTAAACAACAACAAAAAAAAACAATTTGTCACCTCATCTAAGGGAAAAATCTGGAGTTAGGTTTTAAAAATATATATTTATATAAATATATTTATATAAATATATATTATATAAAATATATAACATATAATTATATATTATATAATATATAATTATATAATATATAATCATATATTTATGTAATATATAGTTATATAATATATAATTTATATATTTATGTAATATATAGTTATATAATATATATGATTTATATATTATATATAATAGATATATATTATATATAATAAATATGTAAATATATATGTATAATCACAACCTTAAATAGAAAACCAGTATCATTTGCTCTACATAGAAAAGCAGGGAATCATAAAAATAAAATTTAAAAATGTGCTTTTCTCCTCTGGACTCATTCATGCAGCTGCATTTAGTTGGTGACTAGGCTAGACAGAAGTCCAAGATGGCTTCATCCACATTTGGGGGGCTTTGGCAGGGGTCACTGGAATACTGGGACCTCATTTTCTCCCTATTCTCTTTCATCATTCAGTGGCCTAGCCCAGGGTTTTGTGGTTTTTCTTGCTGTTGTTTTTGTTTTTGTTTTAACCAGGTAGCTGAATCCCAAGAGGGCAAAAATGAAAGCTACTAGGCTGTTAAGGTCTTGGCCTGGAAGTCACTTCTACCACATTCTGTTGGTTAAAGTAAATTACAGGCCCGCACAGTTTCTGTATGGGCCATGTGGAAAAGTCACATTTGAACGGTGTCATTGGGAAAGGCAGAGTAAAGAGCTTCAAAAATTCTCTCCTCCATAAAAGCTATGAGAAGTGAAGCAAAAAAAAAAAATTGTCAAAATCAACTTTTTCAGAACTCTGGGGATTAACCACATGCTGCAATAATTCAGGAAGCATTTATTCAAGAAAAACAGCTGGGTCTCAGAAAAAAACAGTGAGCTTTGGCCCTGTTTCCATCTCTCTCTCTTTAGCTGTGTTGTAGCCTTGGGAAACCACCAGCCTAGAAGCAACTGAAGAGGTCAGAATGGGATTAGAACTCTTTCAAAACTCCATTCTCTAAAAAAGGTCACTGTTTTACCCGTCACCTGTTCCCTGGAAAGCCCCACCTGCTGGGCTCATCTTTATTTGACCTTACGTAGAACTCATTCAGTGTGCATAGCCTTTTCCCTAGACACATTTGTAGAAAAACAATCAGTGGTAATTGTTTAACATTGCAGCTGTGGCAATAACAGTTTGGCAAATAATATTCTAGTAAGACAACTTAAATAGAAAAGCTGGGAAGTGAGATGCACATAGGGTGCTTTGAAAAACTCAGACATATTTCTGGGAATCTAGAAGGCCATGTGCATAGGCCCACACACATGCTTAGAAAAGTCCCGAGAAAGCCCTAAGCTCTTGCCTCTGGCTGACCTTGGGGCTCTGCACAAGCAGGAAGTGAAGGCTAAGGCAGAGTTATAAGCTGGGAGAATTGCAAAGACTGGGAAAATTATTGGTTTCAGGGATTTAAGAAAATGTCTTTTCAGTCATTAGCTGCCCAATAAACTGAGCATAGATTTTGGTGGCCACACATGATAAAGAATTCAGACTTCATAAACTTAATTTAAGAAAGTCATGAAACAAACAATAGAAGCAGCAACAACAGCAAGAATGAATAGAAGAAACAACAATAAACCCTGAAGAGTCAGGAATTATCAGATTTCTAGAGTTACCAGTGACATCATTTTAAATGTCCACCTTTAACAAGAAATTATAAGGCATGCAAAAAAACCCAAGAAAGTATGGTCCATACACAGGGGAGAAAAAGCAGTCAATAGAAAGTGTCCCTGAAGAAGGCCAGATGTTATATTCACTAAACAAAGGCCTTAAATCAGCAATTTTAACTATATCCAAAAAACACACAAAAAAGCCATGTCTTGAAGACTAAAGAAAAGTATGAGAACAATGTTTAACTAAACAGAATATATCATTAAAGAGATAGATTTTTTTTTAAGTGGAAATTATGGAGTTGGAAAGTAACAATAAGTGAAATAACATACTCACTAGAGGGGTTCAACAACAGATTTGAGCAGGCAAAAAAAATGAATCTGTGAAATTGAAGATAGATTAATTGAGATTATGAAGTCTGAGGAACAGAAAAAAAACGAAGAGAAACAGAGTCTCAGAGATCTGTGGGACATGATTAAGCATAATTAACATACACATAATTGAAGTTCCAGAGGAGAGGAGAGAGAGAGAAAGGGGCAGAAAGAATAATAAAAGAAATAGTGGTTTAAAATTGACTAAATTTTATTAACAATATTAATCTACACATCCAAGAAATATAATAAACTGCAGTAGAAGAAATTCAAAGAGACTCATACCTAAATACATCAAAATCAAACTGTCAAAAGTCAAAGATTCTTGAAAGCAGCAAGAGAGGAACAATCCATTACATACAGGAAGTCTTCGGCTGGGCACGGTGGCTCACACCTGTAATCCCAGCACTTTGGGAGGCCAAAGCAGGCGGATCACTTGAGGTCAGGAGTTTGAAACCAGCCTGGCCAACCTGGAGAAACCCCATCTCTACTTACAAAAAATTAGCTGGGCGTAGTGGTTCATGCCTGTAATCCCAGCTACTCAGGAGGCTGAGGCAGGAGAATTGCTTGAACCTGGGAGGCGGAGGTTGCAGTGAGCTGAGACTGAGCCACTGCACTCCAGCCTGGGTGACAGAGTGAGACTCCATCTCAAAAAAAGAAAAGTCTTCAATAAGATTATCAGCTGGTTTTTTCATCAGAAACCATGGAAGCTCAAAGTACCAAAAGAAAAAGGCTACCAATCAAAACTAATGTTGAGCAAAACTATCCTTTGAAAAAGGGGGAAATGTATACATTCCTAGACTTTTTTCTTTTAATGAGAAAATTCACTGGTAGAAGACCTACCCTATAAGAAATTCTAAAGGTAATCCTTCAGGCTGAAATAAAGACATCAGAGAGTAACTTGAGTCTACATGAAAAAAATAAACAAAGAGCACTGGTGAAGGTAACTATGTAAGTAAATATAACATACAGTATAAATTGGTTTTCGATTGTAACTCTCTTTTTCTTCTCTCTAATTTAAAAGACAGTTGCATAAATAGCATAAAAGGTAAGTAGCTAATAATCCAAAATTGATTTTTATAAGATGTTAATTATAATCCTCAGAGCAATCACTAAGAAAGTAATTTTAGAAAATAGTAACAGAAACTATTGTTTTAATAAAGGAATTTAAATGGCATACTAGATAATATCTAGCACAAAAGGCAATGGAGGAATAGAAGAATAAGAAGGACACTAGACATATATTAATTGCATGGTAATATGGCATATGTAAATTCTACTTTACCAGTATTACATTAATTTAAATGGATTAAACACTCCAATCAAAAGGCAGAGAATGGATTTTTTTTTTAATGTGATCCAACTGTATGTTGTCTACAAGAGATATACTTAGATCAAAGATACAAATAGGGCTGGGCATGGTGACTCAAACCTGTAATCCCAGCACTTTGGGAGGCCAAGATGGGTGGATCACTTGAACTCAGGAGTTCAAGACCAGCCTGGGTAACATGGTGAAACTCCACCTCTACCAAAAATGCACATGTGCCTGTAGTCCCAGCTACTCAGGGAAGCTGAGATGGGAGGATCACTTGAGCCCAGGAGGTGGAGGTAGCAGTGAGCCAAGATCACACCACTGCACAGCAGCCTGGGCAACAGTGAGATCCTGTCTAAAAAAAAAAAAAAAGATACGAATGACTGAAAGTAAAAGTAAAAGGATGGAAAAAGCCTGTTTAACCAAACACAATATATTTCAAATATGTTGAAAGTAAAAAGATGGAAAAATATATAACATACAAACAGTAACCAGAAAAAAGCAGGAGTGGCTATACTAATACCAGACAAAATAGACTTTAAGATAAACATTGTCACTAGAGACAAAAAAGAAAATTACATAATGATAAAAGGGTCAATCCCTCAAGAAGACATAACAATTATAAACATAATTGCACCTAACAACAGACTCCCAATATATATGAAGCAAAAACTGACAGAATGAAGGGAGAAATAGACAATTCAAACACTAATAATTGGTGACTTTAATATCTCATTTTCAATAATGTATGGAAAAACAAAATAAGATCAACAAGAAAATAGAAGACATGAACAACACTATAAACCAACTGACCTAACAGACATATATAAAATAATTCATCCAACAACAGCAAAATACCTATTCATCTTAAGTGCACATGGAACATTCTCCAGAATAGACTGTATGTTAAGCCATAAATAAATCTCAAGAAATTTAAAATGATTGAAATAATACAAAGTGTGTTGTCTATCCACAGTGGAATGAAATTATAAATAAATAACCTTGGAAAATTCCCAAATACATATCAATTAAACAACACACTTCTAAATAACCAATGGGCCAAAGAAGAAATCACAAGACAAATTAGAAAATACTTTGAGATTACTGAAAATGAAAACAGCATGCTAAAACTTATGGGATCCAGCTAAAGCAGTGCTTAGAAGAAAACTTACACCACAATGCCCATATTAAAAAAGAAGAAAGATGTCAAACCAATTACCTCATCTTTTACATTAAGAAACTAAAAAAGAAGGGCAAATTAAACCCAAAGCAAGCAGACAGAAGAAAATAACAAAGATTAGAGTGGAGGTAAACAAAATGTAGAATAGAAAACTGTTAGAGGAAATCAAAAAAATCAAAAGTTTGTTCTTTGAAAACATCAACAAAATTGACCAATTTCTACCTAGATTAAGAAAAACAAGACAGAAGATGCAAATTAATAAAATTAGAAATGAAAAAGGGGGAATTTCCATCAACATTATGGAAATTAAATATAGTTATAAGGAAATGCTGTGAGCAATTATATGCAAAAAATTAAACAACCTACATGAAATGAACAAATTCCTAGACACAGAGTACCAAAACTGACTCAAGTAGAAATAGAAAACCTGAATTATATCTATAAAAAGTAAAGACAGGCCAAGCACAGTGGCTCACCCCTGTAATCCTAGCACTTTGGGAGGCTGAAGAGGGCGAATCACCTGAACTCATGAGTTTGAGACCACCCTGGGCAACACGGTGAAACCCCATTTCTACTAAAATACAAAAAATTAGCTGGTTGTGGTGGCATGTGCTTGTAATCCCGGCTACTCAGGAGGCTGAGATAGGAGAATCACTTGAACCCAGGAAGCAGAGTTTGCAGTGAGCTGAGATGGCACCATTGCATTCCAGCCTGGGTGACAAAGCAAGACTCCATTTCAAAAAAAAAAAAAAAGTAAAGACAGTGAATTAGTAATCACAAAACTTCTCACAAAGAAAAAGACCAAGCACCAAGGATCAAGATGGCTTCAACGATAAACTCTTCCAAACATTCCTAGAATAATTAACACAAATGCTTTACAGATTCTTCCAAAAAAAAAAAAAAAATTAGAGGCCAGGTGTGGTGGCTCATGCCTGTAATCCCAGCACTTTGGGAGGCCAAGGTGGGCAGATCACGAGGTCAGGAGACCCAGACCATCCTGGCGAACACGGTGAAACCCCGTCTCTACTAAAAATACAAAAAAAAAAAAAAATTAGCCGGGCGTGGTGGCGGGCGCCTGTAGTCCCAGCTACTCGGGAGGCTGAGGCAGGAGAATGGCATGAACCTGGGGGATGGAGCTTGCGGTGAGCTGAGATCACACCACTGCACTCCAGCCTGGGAGACAGCAAGACTCCGCCTCAAAAAAAAAAAAAAAGAGACTCACACTTCCCAATTTGAAAACTTACTACAACGCTACAGTAATCAAAAGAATATGATACTGACAGAAGGATAAACATGAAATCCATGAAATAGAATTTGATAAGAAGCAGAGACAGGAAAGTCAATAAGGAGGTAAAATGGCTCTTTCACAATTCTCTCTCCTCTCTTCTCTTCCTTCACCCTTCTCCTCCTCCTTTCCTTCCTCCTCCTCCTCTTTTTCTTCTTGCTCCCTCCTTTCCCCTCCTCACTGGATCTGCCTTTTTTTTTTTTTTTGAGACGGAGTCTCTGTCGTCCAGGCTGGAGTGCAGTGGTGCAATCTCGGCTCGTTGCAACCTCCACCTCCCGGGCTCGAGCGATTCTCCTGCCTCAGCCTCCTGAATAGCTGGGATTATAGGCATGTGTCACCACGCTCAGCTAACTTTTGTATTTTTAGTGGAGACGGGGTTTCACCATGTTGGCCAGGCTGGTCTGAAACTCCTGACCTCAAGTGATCCGCCTGCCTCAGCCTCCCAAGGTGCTGGGATTACAAACGTGAGCCAGAGCGCCCGGCTGGACCTGCCTTTCTTGCAGGTCTCATTCTCCCCTGTCTCTGAACTGGCAGTGATGAGCAGCACAGGGTGAAACATGCCTCCACACCACTCCCTCACCCCCAGCACACACACACCTCACTGGTTCAATATCTCCAGTCCAAGGGACCCGCAGAGACGGTGTCCCCGTTCCAAATTCCCAGGAAAGAGAATATAATTTGCTCAGCTTGGGCCAGGTACCCAGGCCTGTCCAGCCCAATCAGTTGAGACCAGGGAGACCAGGGATTGGCATCAGCAAGTACAGCACTAGCCATTTAGTGCTATACCAAGAAGACTATCTACTTTGATAAGTAAGAAGCAGATCTGGGGGAGTAACACAGGCTTCCTGATTCTCATCATGAATCACTTTCTACATTACCTGTCACCTTCTTTCCCGACCCCCGACCCCCGCAGGGATACTGCATATAGTTGTTGAAGCTGTGCACTGCACAACCCTACAGGGTGCAATCTGCATTTTAGGCCCTGTAGTCCTGAATATTTATTCTACCAATTTCTGACAGGTGGGCTCTGACCAAGTAAGAGTCTTGGGGAAGAAGAATCTCATTCTAATGTAAACAAAAATGCCAGATAGGCTAGGGGTGGCCCTGCCTTCCTCTACTTCTCTTCTCTGTCCCTTTGGAGCATGGAAATAATTGGGGGTGGGGAGCAGGTACCCTTGACTTTGTCTCCAAGATCTGACCCGTCCATCTCCCCACAGGTGGGTGCATCCTTGTTTGCCAGCAATGTTGGAAGTGGACATTTCATTGGCCTGGCAGGGTCAGGTGCTGCTACGGGCATTTCTGTATCAGCTTATGAACTTAATGTAAGTATTTTACCTAGGGCATAGATGACATCTTACCTCTACCTAACAGGTAGATCTCAGGGGAAAGTTGTGTGAATGCCCTGCACTTTAAAAATAGAATGGTGGGGCCAGGCGCGGTGGCTCACGCCTGTAATCTCAGCACTTTGGGAGGCCAAGGCAGGTGGATCACCTAAGGTCAGGAGTTCGAGACCAGCCTGGCCAACGTGGCGAAACCCCGTCTCTACTAAAAATACAAAAAATTAGCCGAGTGTAATGGCGGGCGCCGTAATCCCAGCTACTCGGGAGGCTGAGTTAGGAGAATCATCTGAACCCGGGAGGCGGAGGTTGCAGTGAGCAGAGATTGCACTACTGCGCGCCAGCCTGGGTGACAAGAGTGAAACTCCGTCCCCCTCCCCACAAAAAAACAAAACAAAACAAAACAAAAAAAACAAAAAAAAACACACACACACACACACACACAAACCCAAAAAACACAAAAAAAAAACAATAGTGGGTTGGGCGCGATGGCTCAGGCCTGTAATCCCAGCACTTTGGGAGGCCAAGGTGGGCGGATCTTTTGAGGTCAGGAGTTTGAGACCAGCCTGGCCAACATGGTGAGACTCCATCTCTACTAAAAATACAAAAATTAGCCAGGCTTGGTGGTGCATGCCTGTAATCCTAGCTACTCAGGAGGCTGAGGCAGGAGAATCACTTGAACCTGGGAGACAGAGGCTGCAGTGAGGTGAGATTGTAACACTGCACTTCAGCCTGGGCGACAGAGTGAGACTCTGTCTCACAAAAAAAAAAAAAAAAAAAAAAAGGGTGTGTGAAGAAGAGGGCTCAGATTCCTGTCCTAGAGATGCAGAAGAAAGATGGTGAAGACTGAAGCGTATTTCTGTGTACTTTAGACGTCAATCGGCCATCACAAAAATTTTACAGCTCAGTAGTTTTTGACTTTGTTTGCTACCTCTGAGATACTCAAGGGATAAGATACACTCTCGTATATAGCAGGGCTCATTTGGGATATGATTTTTACTGGGGTCAGGGCAGGGAGGGGATTATTAATAATGATCATTGCCTTCATAATGTCCAATATTTTTGGATGCTTATTCTATGCCAGGAACAGACTTTGATATGTTCCATATGCTATCACATTATAGGATTCATTTACAAATTAGACCCACACTGCCTGGGTTTACATTCTTGCTCCAACACGTATAAACTTCAGCAGCAAGTTGCTTTTTGTGTGACCTTGGGTGGCAAGTGTTATTTCTGCTTGTTTGTTTTGTTTTGTTTTGTTTTTTGAGACAGGGTCTCGCTCTGTCGCCCAAGCTGGAGTGCAGTGGTGTGGTCATGGCTCACTGCAACCTCCACCTCTCAGGCTCAAACCATCCTCCCACTTCAGCCTCCCAAGTAGCTGGGACCACAGGTGCACGCCACCATGCCTAGCTAATTTTCATATTTTTTTGTAGAGACGGGAATTTCACTATGTTGCTCAGGTTGGTCTTAAACTCCTGGGTGCAAGCGATCCACTGGCTTCTGCCTGCCAAAGTGCTGGGATTACAGGCGTGACTCACCGCACCCAGCTGGGCAAGTTTCTTAACCTCTCTGAGCCTCATGTACATAATAGGCATATTAATGGTACCTGTTATGTAGAACCATTATGAGGGTCAAATGAATTAATGCTTGTAAAGGGTGCAGAGAGGCGCCTGGCATACAGTACTCATTAAGTATCATCTTCCTGATTTCCTTGCAACCACTTAGTGAGGCACTGATATGCCCATTTTCCAGGTGAGAAAAATGAGTCTCGGAGACCTGTGTTAACTCTTGTGGTCGTCTTTGAACCCAGATCTGCCTGCTGTCATGGTCTTGTTTTAATCACTGCTGAGGAGGGGAGGGGGCACAACTGGATGAAGTGATGACATGATGTTTAGGAGACACAGAACTAGGAAGCATCGCAAAGGCCTTCTTTTTCCACTCTCCTCTTCCTTCCCGAATCCATTCCCCATGTTAAAAAAGGAAATTTGAAGGCCAGCACAGGTGAACCACTCAGCGAGTAAGAGACTACACCAGAGGTGGAGTTCAGGCCAGGCTGCCTCAGGGCGCAGAGGGAAATCCAAATGGGTACCTTGTTGTGAGCTGGGGGCCAAGTCCTGACTGTGTTTTCTTGAGCAGGGCTTGTTTTCTGTGCTGATGTTGGCCTGGATCTTCCTACCCATCTACATTGCTGGTCAGGTGAGTCGGGGGACATTGGGATGCTGTAGAATTGAAAGATGCTTTGGGAATCTCAGCCCTGCAGTCCCTCCCTCATCCCGCCATCCCTCCCTCCTGCCCATGGTCATGTATTCGATTGCCACTCAGAGGCCCCAGTAAAGGGGAGGGATGATCCACAGGTGAGACAATGAGGAACCCAGTCCATAGCACTTCCTGCCAGTACCCAACATCCAAGGCACACAGAAGGCATTTGGAGGTTGGAAAAAATATGGACCCCAAAATTTTAAATACCAAAACACAAATGTAAAGCTCACAATCTCTTTTAAATGTTTAAATCACAACATGTTTCTGCTATATTTTTTTGAGACAGGGTCTGGCTTTGTCCCCAGGATGGAATGCAGTGGTGCAATCTTGGCTCACCTGGTCTCACCAGCCTCCCCAGCAGCTAGGACCACAGATGCAAGCCACCACACCCAGCTAATTTTTGCATTTTTTTTTTAGTAGAAAATACAAAAATCCTGCCATGTTACCCAGGCTGGTCTCGAACTCCTGGGCTCAAGTGATCTGCACACCTCAGCCTCCCAATCTGAGTAGCTGGACTTACAGGCATAAGCCACCATGCCCAGCCTATGTTTCTGCTTTTTGCTAAAAAATAAAAATAAAAGTATATAGCTTATGCCTGTAATCCTAGCACTTTGGGAGGCCAAGGCAGGCAGGTCACTTGAGCCTAGGAGTTCGAGACCAGGCTGGGCAACATGGTGAAAACCTGTCTCTACTAAAAAAATACAAAAATTAGCCAGGCATGGTGGTAAGCACCTGTAATCCCAGCTACTCAGGAGGCTGAGGAGCCATAAGAATTGCTTGAGCCCGGGAGGCAGAGGATGCAGTGAGCTGAGATCACACCACTGCACTCCAGCCTGTATGACAGAGCGAGACCCTGTCTCAATCATATATATATATATATATATATATATATATATATATATATATATATATATATATATATTTTAAACCATATATATATTTTAAAATCACGTATATGATTCAGTGATTTTTTTTCTTCCTTTGCACACAAAACTATAATAATTGAGCTATTTCTGACTGGTACAAAATGTCAACGTTTTAGTTACAAAATAATGCTACTTTTGACTCTTTGAAAAGCATTTTTTTGTGGGTTTTTTTTTTTTTTTTGACAGAGTTTTGCTCTTGCCCAGGCTGGAGTGCAATGGTGTGATCTCGGCTCACTGCAAACCTCTGCCTCCCGGTTTCAAGCAATTCTCCTGCCTCAGTCTCCCAAGTAGCTGGGATTACAGGCGCCCACCACCCCCCCCCAGCTAATTTTTGTATTTTTAGTAGAGATGGGGTTTCACCATGTTGGCCAGGCTGGTCTGGAACCCCTGACCTCGTGATCCACCCACCTCGTAATCCTCCCAAAGTGCTGGGATTACAGGCCTGAGCCATCATGCCTGGCCTGAAAAGCAGTTTTTAAAAAATCATCTATGATCTCACTGGCAGCATTGTATCATTCATACTTTCTAACCTTTATTCTGTTCTAGATGTTCTATTGCACATGGCAAGATCACACAATATCACAGTGTTGTTCATAAAGCAATAACTGATTTTAGCTTTTTATTATGGAAATGTTAAAAAATACGCAAAGTAGGCTGGGCATGGTGGCTCATGTATGTAATCCCAGCACTTTGGGAGGCCGAGTTGGGTGGATTGCTTCAGGCCAGGAGTTCGAGACCAGCCTGGGCAACATGGCAAAATCCCATCTCTACCAAAAATACAAAAATCAGCTGGGTGTGGTGATGCACACCTACAGTCTCAGATACTCAGGAGGCTGAGGCAGGAGGATTAGGATAACTTGAGACCGGTAGGTTGAGGCTACAGTGAGCCATAATTGTGCCACAGCACTCCAGTCTGGGGGACAGAATGAGACCCTGTCTCAAAAACACACACACACACACACACACACACACACACACACACACACACACGTAGAAAAAGCTTAGGAGTCAGAAATCATGTTAAAAATCCTTCTGGCTGGATGCAGTGGCTCATGCCTGTAATCCCTGCACTTTGGGAGGCCATGCGGGGAGAATCACTTGAGTCCAGGATTTCAAGACCAGCCTGGGCAACAGAGCAAGACCTCATCTCTACTAAAGATTTTTTTTAAATTAGCCGGGCCTGGTGGCGAGTGCCTGTGGTCCCAGCTACTCCAGAGGATGAAGTGGGAGGAACACTTGAGCCCAGGAGTTGGAAGCTGCAGTGAGCTATGATCACGCCACTGCAGTCTAGCCTGAGTGACAGAGAATAGTTCAATTCTGTATTAAGGGCAGGGATATATGGGTAAGTAACCTCCCTTGGAGGTAATCCCAAAAGTCTGAAAGCAAGACCTTTGGTGAGCAGGGGGCCTGGGTCTGCTCCTGACCCCTGTGGCTAGCTCCCATGTAGACACAGCATCTGAGGTATAACAACACTGGACTGGAAATGAAGCTCTCCGAGTCAAGGCATCAAGAAAGTTATTGAGCACCTACTACAGGAAGGCATATATGATGGTAGAGATGCAGGTGAGTAAATATTTAGGGTTGCCAGACATTCTCACCCGATGGCTTCCATGTTCTCTGGCAAACAGAAGATGATGTCATCAGCTGAGAGTGAGAAAGGAACTTGCTTTAGGTTGAGAAGATGCAAAGTTTGTTTTTGTTTTGTTTTGTTTTGTTTGTTTTGAGATGGAGTCTCACTCTGTCACCCAGGCTGCAGTGCAGTGGCACAATCTTGGCTCACTGCAGTCTCCACCTCCCAGGTTCAAGCAATTCTCTGCCTCAGCCTCCCGAGTAGCTGGGATTACAAGCGCCCACCACCACGCCCAGCTAATTTTTGTATCTTTAGTAGAGACGGGGTTTCACCATGTTGGTCAGGCTGGTCTCGAACTCCTGACCTCGTGCGCCTCAGCCTCCCAAAGTGCTGGGATTACAGGCATGAGCCACTGTACCAGCCAGATAGCCAGATGCAAAGAACTGAAATGGCTGCAGTAGTTGTTTGTAATAGAAAAACCTGGGAACAACCACCATGTCCATTAATAAGGAACTGGACAGCCGGGGTATACCATTTCATGCTGTGACAAGGGATGAAGTCCACAGAGGTATGCTGATCTCCAAGCTATTGTTAAATAAGAAAATAAAATCTCCTAGATCTAGACATCCTTTGGGCAATATCTTACACTTATACAAAGGAGAGGTTAACCCCATCCTAGATAATAAATGCCAAAGTGTTGAGAAAAGTTCAAAAGCTACCCAATTTGTTTTTATTAGGACATGAAATAGACATTCAGAAAAGCAATAAGACACACACACACACACACAAAACAAACACAAAAGTGCAGCTTGACAAATTATTGTAAAAGGAACACCCACATCAAGACAGAAAACATAATGTCAGCCAGGTGCGGTAGCTCACGCCTGTAATCCCAGCACTTTGGGAGGCTGAGGCAGGCAGATCACTTGAGGTCAGGAGTTCAAGACCAGCCTGGCCAACATGGTGAAACCCTGTCTCTACTAAAAATACAAAAATTAGCCAGATGTGGTGGCAGGTGCCTGTAGTCCCAGCTACTCGGGAGGCTGAAGTGGGAGAATTGCTTGAACCCAGGAGGTGGAGTAAAGTAAGCCAATATCACACTACTTAACTCCTGCCTGGGTGACAGAGTGGGACTCCGTCAGAAGGAAAGGAAAGGAAAGAAGGAAAGGAAAGGAAAGGGGAAAGGGGAAAAGGGAAAGGGAAAGGAGAAGAAGGAAGGAAGAGAGAAAGGAAGGAATGGAGAGAGGGAGGGAGGAAGGAAGGAAGGAAGGAAGGAAGGAAGGAAGGAAGGAAGGAAGGAAGGAAGGAAATAAATATAATGTACCCTGCAAGCCTTTAGAAAATCACAATGCTGGCTGGGCACAGTGGCTCAGGGCCATAATCTCAGCTCTTTGGGAGGCTGTGGTGGGAGGATTGCTTGAAGCCAGGAGTTTGAGACCAGCCTGGGCAACACAGTGAGACCCCCATCTCTACAAAAATAATTAAAATAAAGAATTAGCTGAGACTGGTGGTGTGCACCTTTAGTCCCAGCTAGTCAGGAGGCTGAGGCAAGAGGATGGGAGACTGAGGAGGAGGATTGATTGCTTGAACCCAGGAGATCAGGGCTGCAGTGAGCTATGATTGTACCACTGCACTCCAGCCTGGGTGACACAGCGAGACCCCGTCTCTAAAAAAGAAAAATCACAATGCCTTCCCTTCTCCTTGGCTTTCCTATTAAGTAATTACTCCCTTGCTTTTATTTACAGTTTTAATTCTGCATACCTGAACAATGCAGTTGAATTTTACTTTTTTTGGTGAAGGGTGGGTCATAGATAATTGAAAACTGGAGTAATTTTTTTTTTTTTTTTTGAGGCAGAGTTTCGCTCTGCTGCCCAGGCTGGAGTTGCAGTGGCATGATCTCAGCTCACTGCAACATCTGCCTCCTGGGTTCATGCAATTCTCCTCCCTCAACCTCCCAAGTAGCTGGGATTACAGGTGCACACCACCACGCCCGACTACTTTTTGTATTTTTAGTAGAGATGGGGTTTCCCCATGTTGGCCAGGCTGTTCTTGAACTCCTGGCCTCAGGTGATCCACCCACCTCAGTCTCCCAAAGTGCTGGGATTACAGGTGTGAGCCACCGCACCCAGCTTGGAGGTAATATTCTTTTGTTACATGTAGCTGATGTGTTAATTTTCATTGCTATGCGGTATCGTGTAGTGTGACTCACATTCCAATATATTTATCCATTCTGTTGTGCATGGGCGTTTAAGTTGCTCCCAGTATTGGTCTATGATAGACAGCACTGCTGTGAACATTTTTATAAATGTGTTCTTCTACACATAGACAAGCATTGGTGAGAGAATCTACCTCTAAGTGGAATTTCTAGGTCATTGGATATGTTCATCTTTGGCTTTACAAGATATTGACAAACATTTTCCCAGAGTAGTTCTATCCATTTATATTCCCACCAGCAGTGTATGAAAATTCCCTTTCCTGCAATTCAGCGTATCCTTGGTTACATTTTATATTCTCCAACTTAAAGATTCTTGCGAATTTGGTGCATGTGTAGTGATATCTCACTGCTTTTTAAAATTTTTTTGAGACAGAGTCTTGCTCTGTCGCTCAGGCTGGAGTGCAGTGGCGTGCCCTCAGCTCACTGCAACCTCCGCCTACCTGGGTTCAAGCAATTCTTGATTCTCCTGCCTCACTCCGTCCCCCACCACACACACACTGCCCCAGTAGCTGGGACTACAGCCACCATGCCCAGCTAATTTTTGTATTTTTAGTAGAGACGGGGTTTCGCCAAGTTGTCCAGGCTGGTGTTGAACTCTTGACCTCAGATGATCCTCCCACCTCACCTCCCAAAGTGTTGGGATTACAGGCCTGAGCCACCGCACCTGGCCATCTCACTGTTTTTAATTGGCAACTCTTTTTATACATTTTCCGGCCATTTGGATTTCCTCTTTGAGGAAGTAACTTGTCTAGGACTTTTGTCCATTTTTCTATTAGGTTATATGTCTTTAAAAAAAAATAGAGATGGGGTCTTACTGTAGCAATAGAGATGTTGCCCAGGCTGGTCTTGAACTCCTGGGCTCAAGCAGTCCTCCCACCTTGGCCTCCTAAAGTGCTAGGATTACAGGTGTAAGCCATCGTGCATGGCCTCACAATTAAATCTATTATCCGCCTAGAATTTGTTTTTGTCTAC
This sequence comes from Homo sapiens, assembly GCF_000001405.40. Taxonomy (NCBI): domain Eukaryota; kingdom Metazoa; phylum Chordata; class Mammalia; order Primates; family Hominidae; genus Homo; species Homo sapiens. The sequence goes on from NW_021160019.1 coordinate 128,666, forward strand.
CATATGTATGTCTTTTGAGGCAGGGTCTCCCTGTCACTTAGGCTAGAGTGCAATGGCATGATCATGGCTCACTGCACCCGCGACCTCCTGAGCTCAGGCTCAAGTGATCCTTCCACCTCAGCCACCTGAGTAGCTGGGACTACAGGCGCCTGTCACCACGCATGACTAAATTTGTATTTTTTGTAGAAATGGGGTTTCACCATGTTGCCCAGTCTGGTCTCAAACTGCACTCAAGTGATTCCCCTTGCCTTAGTCTCCCAAAGTGATGGGAACCAACTGTGCTGGGCCCCTCTCCTCCCTTCTTAAGTATCAGGTTGAGAATCCCAAGAAGACCATCTGTGCTCTGAGTTGCGGGGGCAGGAGCAGATGGGAAGGGCTTGTGTGGGGGGGTCACGTGCTGGTGGTGAAGTCCGCTGGTGGTGAAATCTCAGCTCTGGCCCTCAGGTCACCACGATGCCAGAATACCTACGGAAGCGCTTCGGTGGCATCAGAATCCCCATCATCCTGGCTGTACTCTACCTATTTATCTACATCTTCACCAAGATCTCGGTAAGGCAGGGACACAGCCTGGCCTCACCCATGCAGCATGGGGAGAAGATAAGGCACAGATCATTGCTCAGGAGTGTCTCCTCGCTATCCCCTTTCTCCTCGTCTTTCATAGGCTGCAGGGAGATTAGAGGAAGATGGCATGGGGGGAGGTAAGCGTGGACAGAGGGAATTGGGAGAAAATGGTTGGGTGCAGTGGCTCACGCCTGTAATCTCAGCACTTTGGGAGGCTGAGGCAGGTGTATCACTTGAGGTCAGGAGTTTGAGGCCAGTCTGGCCAACATGGCGAAACCCCATCTCTACCAGAAAATACGAAAATTAGCCAGGCGTGGTGGCTGATGCCTGTAGTCCCAGCTATTCGGGAGGCTGAGGCAGGAGAATTGCTTGAGCCCAGAAGGCGGGGGTTGCAGTGAGCCAAGATCATGCCACTGTACTGCAGCCTGGGTGAAAGAGCGAGACTCTGTGTCAAAAAAAAGAAAAAAAAAAAAAAGAAGAAATTGGGAGAAAAGGTAGAGGAAAGGAGGGAAGGACTTTCTCTCCTACTCCTGCCAAAGCTTCTTTGTCAACATCTCAGGATGATGTGGGTTGATCAATGGGACTCCAAGAACCCTGCCAACCCTTGGATAGGACTGTTCTCTTCCTCCTGGAATTAGACAGTGATCAGCTGTTTATCCGATGTGCTGTTGGCTGATTGCGCTGCCCCACCCTGACCTTTGGATGGGCAGATCTCCTAGGAAGTGGCAAAGAACAGGTGTATTGCAACCTCCAGACATGTGCCCCTCAGCAGAAGCTGTCTTCGCTTCCAGCCAGGGAGGAGGGAGGAGCTTGTCCTATGGGAAGGGGTGAGGGGGAGCAGAAGGGGTTCCGTTCAATCCAAACAACAATAAGTGAATCTACGCCAGCTCCAGACTGCAGGACAGACAACACAGGCTCCTTTCTAGAATGTTCACTTGCAGTCTGGTGGGAAGCTGCAGATGTGGGAAGCCTTCTAGGGGAAGTTACATCCCAGGAGGAACTTACAGTTAGAGAAAGGGGATTGGCCCTCCAGACGGAAGCACCAGCACAAGTGAAATCTGGGAGGCCCAGGTACACATGACTTGTTGAGAAACAGAGGGTATTTCAGAGTCTGTGGAGGTCTGGGAGTACGAAGTGAGTATTTAGCCTCATTTATTTAGCCTTTATCTTGGGGGCAATGGGGGAGTCACTTAAGAGTTTGAGTGGGGAGGAGAAGGGTGATGTGATCATTATGGTATTTAATGAAGGTTGCAGTGTGGAAGATGGAGTGGGAGAGGACCAAAAGCAGAAGCAGGAAGACCATTGAGGAGGCTGCTGCATCAGCCCAGGGCCCACAGGGCTCCAGCTGAAGACCCCTGATCTGGGATGCAGTGGATTAACAAGGGATGACGTATGACTCTTCTGTGTTTGTCAGCATCTAGGCTAGGCCCTGATCCCAGGGAACCTGTGCTGCAAATGTCCACTCATTCATTCATTCGTTCATTTGTTCATCCATCAACCTCCTTTCTTCACAGGTAGACATGTATGCAGGTGCCATCTTCATCCAGCAGTCTTTGCACCTGGATCTGTACCTGGCCATAGTTGGGCTACTGGCCATCACTGCTGTATACACGGTTGCTGGTAAGACTGAACAAAGGGTAACACCTAGCAGAGGCAGTGGGCAGGGGCTGTGGGCCACTCTACCTTCTCCTTGCCCATCTTCTGATGTTCCATTGTGCTAAGACCCATTTATTCATTAAACGTCACTCCTTTACCCTAGATAAAAAGATTTCTCCTGACCATTATCCAAAGGAAGGGGGTTACCTGATAAGATAAAGCTTTTTAGGTTGGGCTCGGTGGCTCATGCCCGTAATCCCAGCACTTTGGGAAGCCGAGGCAGGTGGATCACTTGAGGCCAGGAATTCCAGACCAGCCTGGCCAACATGGCAAAATCCCATCTCTACTAAAAATAGAAAAATTAGGCCAGGCACGGTGGCTTACGCCTGTAATCCCTGCACTTTGGGAGGCCAAGGTGGGTGGATCACGAGGTCAGGAGTTCAAGACCAGCCTGACCAACATGGCAAAACCCCATCTCTACTAAAAATACAAAAATTAGCCAGGCATGATGGCCCGTGCCTGAAATCCCAGCTACTCAGGAGGCCGAGGCAGGAGAATCACTTGAACCCGGGAGGCGGAGGTTGCAGTGAGCCAAGATCGCGCCACTGCACTCCAGCCTGGGTGACAGAGCGAGACACCAGCTCACAACTACAACAACAAAAAATTAGCCGGGCATGCTGGCAGACTCCTGTAATTCCAGCTACTCAGGAGGCTGAGGCAGGAGAATCGCTTGAACCCCGGTGGGGCGGACGTTGCAGTGAGCCAAGATGGTGTCATTGCCCTCCAGCCTGGGTGACAGAGCGAGACTCCGTCTCAGAATAAAAAAAGATAAAGCATTTTTAAAATGCACCACAATGGCATAATGTTTTTTCCCATTCATGTATCCCAGAACTGTTTCTTGAGCACCTACTAACTGCTGAGCCATGTGCACTCACAGGCACAATACAAGGCTGGATAATAAACTACTGCAATCCTGGAGCCTGAGGGCAGGTAACCTCATCTCTCCGCCTCATACCTGTATCCTAGAAGAGTGCCTGGCACGCAGTAGGGCCTTGAGAAGTACCTGTTTTTAAATATTTATTATCTCATCTTCCACTCTATTTTCACCCTTTTCCGCCTCCTCTTGGCTTGATATAACTCATTCCATATATATGTGTGTGTCTGTTTGTGTCTGTGTGTGCCTGTGTGTGCACAGACACAAACACACTGGTATCTCTATATTATGTACCTTGTATCTATATATCATGTATTTACATACACAGGTATGTGTATATGGATATACATTTCCTACTGTGTGCCAGACATCATGCCAGGGAGTGAGGCACAGATGTAAGCAAGACAAATATCTCTACTCCAGAGGAACTTATTGAGGATGGGAGACAATGAACAGGGAAATCAATAAATAATGTTAGGCCAGGTGTGGTGGCTCACGTGTGTAATCCCAACACTTTGGGAGGCCGAGGCGGGTGGATCACCTGAGATCAGGAGTTCTAGACCAGCCTAGCCAACATGGCAAAACCCGGTCTCTACTAAAAATACAGAAAAATTAGCTGGGCATGATGGCACATGCCTGTAATCCCAGCTACTCGGGAGGCTGAGGCAAGAGAATCACTTGAACCTAGGAGGCGGAGGTTGCAGTGAGCCAAGATCACACCACTGCACTCCAGCCTGGGCAACAGAGTGGGACTCTGTCTCAAAAATAAATAAATAAATATGTCAGTGTATATTATTATAACCTGAGAAGTGCTATAAGGAAAAATTAATTGGGGTGAAGAGATGGAGGACAGGTTTTTTTTGGTTTTTTGTTTTTTTTTTACATAGAATATTCAGCTAAGGCCTCTCTAAGGTGATATCTCAACCAATTTTTTTTTCACCTTCGACTTTGATTTTAGATTCAGGAGGTACATGCAGGTTTGTTAATAGGTATATTGCATGATGCTGAGGTCTGGGGTACGAATGGATCCATTAGTCCACGTAGTGAGCATAGTACCCAATGGGTAGTTTTTCAACTGGTATCCCCCTCCCTCTCCCTCCTCTAGTAGTCCCCAATTCCCTTATTCAAGTCCATGAGTACCCAATGTTTATTCAGTTTCCACTTATATGTGAGAACAGGTGGGCCAGGCATGGTGGCTCACTCCTGTAATCCCAGCACTTTGGAAGGCCAAGGTGGGAAGATCACCTGAGGTCAGGAGTTCCAGAGCATCCTGGCCAACATGGTGAAACCCATTCTCTACTAAAAATACAAAAATTAGCAGAGTGTGGTGGCAGGTGCCTGTAATCCCAGCTATGTGGAAGGCTGAGGCAGGAGAATCTCTTGAACGCAGGAGGCAGAGGTTGCAAGGTTGCAGTGAATGGAGATCACACCACTGCACTCCAGCCTGGGCAACAGAGCAAGACCCCATCTCAAAGAAAAAGAAAATAAACAAATAAGTGAGTGGTTTTCTGTTCCTGCATTAATTCACTTAGGATAAGGGCCTCCAGCTGCATTCATGTGCTGCAAAGGTTATGATTTTGTCCTTTTTAATGGCTGTGTAGTATTTCGTGGTATATCTGTACCATATTTTCTTTATCCAATCCACTGTTGATGGGCACCTGTGTCAATTCCATGTCTTTGCTATTGTGCGTAGTATTGTGATGAACATATGAGGGCATGTGTCTTTTTGGTAGGATGACTTATTTTCCTTTGGGTACATACCCAGTAGTGGGATTGCTGGTCAAATGATAATTCAATTCTCAGTTCTCTCTCCACAGTGGCTGAACTAATTTACACTCTGTATTAGTCCATTCTCACACTGCTATGAAGAACTACCCGAGACTGGATAATTTATGAAAAAAAAAAGAGGTTTAATTGACTCACAGTTCCACAGGCTTAACAGGAAGCATGGCTAGGAGGCCTCAGGAAACTTACAGTCATGGTGGAAGGCAAAGGGGAAGTAAGCACGTCCTACCATGATGGAGCCGGAGAGAAAGAGTGAAGCGGGAGGTGCTACACACTTTTTTCTTTTCTTTTCTTTTTGAGATGGAGACTTACTCTTTCATGGCTGGAGTGCAATGGTGCAATCTCAGCTCACCACAACCTCCACCTCCTGGGTTCAAGCAATTCTCCTGCCTCAGCCTCCCAAATAGCTGGGATTACAGGCACGTGCCACCATGCCCAGCTAATTTTGTGTTTTTAGTAGAGACAGGGTTTCTCCATGTTGGTCAGGCTGGTTTCGAACTCCCATCCTCAGGTGATCTGCCCGCTTCGGCCTCCCAAAGTGCTGGGATTACAGGCATGAGCCACCGTGCCTGGCCTAGTGCTACACACTTTTAAACAACCAATTCTCATGAGAACTCTATCACCAGACAGCACTGGGGATGGTGCTGAATCATTAAAATCACCCCCATAATCCAATCACCTCCCACCAGGACCCTCCCCCAACACGCGGGGATTACAATTCAACATGAGATTTGGGTGGGGACACAGAGCCAAACCATATCACACTCCCACCAACAGTGCATCAGCATTTCCTTTTCTCCACAACCTCGCCAACGTCGGTTATCTTTTGACTTCTTAATTGTTTTTAAGTTTAAAGCTGTTCTGGCCGGGCACAGTGGCTCACACCTGTAATCCCAGGACTTTGGGAGGCCAAGGCAGGAGGATCAACTGAGGTCTGGAGTTCGAGACCAGCCTGGCCAATATAGTGAAACCCTGTCTCTACTAAAAATACAAAAAAATTAGCCAGGCGTGGTGGCGGGCACCTGTAATCCCAGCTACCTGGGAGGCTGAGGGAGGAGAATCGCTTGAACCCTGGAGGCAGAGGCTGCAGTGATCTGAGATCGTGCCACTGCACTCCAGCCTGGGCAACAGAGCGAAACTCAAATTAAAAAAAAAAAAAAGCTGTTCTGACTGGTGTGAGATGATATCTCATTGTGGTAGTGATTTGTTTTTGTTTGATTGTTTGTTTGTTTGTTTTTCTTTTTTTGAGACAGGGTCTCCCTCTGTTGCCCAGGCTGGAGTGCAATGGTGCAATCTTGGCACACTGCAACCTCCATCTCCCAGGTTCAAGTGATTCTCCTGCCTCAGCCTCCCAAGTAGCTGAGACTACAGGTGCCAGTCACTATGCCCGGCTAACGTTTGTATTTTATGGTAGAGAAAGGGTTTCACTGTGTTGGTCAGGCTGGTCTTGAACTCCTGGCCTCAAGTGATCCGCCTGCATCAGCCTCCCAAAATGCTGGGATTACAGATGTGAACTACTGTGCCCGGCCTGTGATTTGCATTTTTCTGATGATTAGCGATGATGAGCATTTTTTCGTATCTCAACCAAGTTTAAATAACACCCCATGAGCAATGCAGGGGAGGAGAATTCCAGGCTGAGAGAAGGGCTGCAGTAAACACTCTGAGATGAGAACCTGCTTGAGCAAATGGTTATGTAGGCTGTGCCCTATTCCACTCCAGGGGGTGCCATTCACACCAACCAGAGTGAAAATGGCACCCCGTGGCACTGTGCTAAGCAGCAACCCTGGTGGTAAGAGTGGGATTGGAGAAAAGGGCAGGGACCAGAGCTTTGAAGGAAACAAAATGAGCCTTACATTTGTTCTAAGTGCCATGGAATACTATTGGATGCTCTAAACAGAAAATTGACAAAATCTAACATATGCAAAGTCCCCTGATACAGAAAGACCTTGGCTGAGTTCTCAGAACTAGCAGAAGCAATGTGCCTGGGGCAGGGGAAAAGGGGAGGGCAGGCTGCCATAGCTGATGAATGTTGGTGTTCCTTGTTTGGAGGTCTGTGTCCCCCATTAGACTGTAGACTCTATGAGGGCAGGGAACATGCCATTTTGTTGGCCTCTGCATCCCTACCACGTAGAACTTGGTGGGGAGCTCACCGGCTATTTGGTGAAAGACTGAACAAAATGATCCCCACAGTGCCTGGCATATGAGAGATTCTCATCACTGTTAATATAGAAAGGATGGTGGGGTTAAGTGGTACCCAACACCAGGATCTCACCACACTCAGGCTGACTCACTGCATGCGTGAACGGCAGGGAACTGAGGCCAGAATCAAAGCCAGTTCTCCTCCCCTTTGTGAGAGCCCTATTCCTGCTGGGAAGGAAGGAGGGATCCTGGAGAGCACCTCACCCACGGGCACAGGGTTTTTAAATTGTACAGTGACTGTGCCCTCTAGTAGACATGTTTCTATTGGATAAGTGTCCCTTCTCCTCAGGGAAGGAGGAAGAACAGAGGTTTAAGGAAGAGACTGGAAAGATTGCTCTTTCCAGATGCTGATGGATTTGCTACCAGGATCATCATTATGAATTTTTATGTATTTATTTATTCTTTTGAGATGGAGTCTCGCTCTGTTGCCCAGGCTGGCGTGCAGTGGCACGATCTTGGCTCACTGCAACCTCTGCCTCCTGGGTTCAAGTGATTCTCCTGTCTCAGCCTCCCGAGTAGCTGGGATTACAGGCATGCCCCATCACACCTGGCTAATTTTTGTATTTTTAGTAGGGACAAGGTTTCACCATGTTGGCCAGGCTGGTCTTGAACCCCTAACCTCAGGTGATCTGTCTGCCTCAGCCTCCCAAAGTGCTGGGATTACAGGCATGAGCCATCTTTCCCAGCCCATTTCGAAGATTTTTGCAGGTGGCAAACCCAACAAGAATCCTCTGAGGCACCATCACGATCCTCTCCAGGAAGTCTAGGGGGCCTCTGAATACCTAATACTCACATCCTTTATCCAGTCTTAAAAATAAAGGTGTTGGCTGGGTGTAGTTGCTTACACCCGTAATCCCAGCACCTTGGGAGGCCGAGGCAGGAGGACTGTTTGAAGCCAGGAGTTCGGGCCCACCCTGGGCAACATAGCAAGACTCCATCTCTAGAGAAAAGTTAAAAATTAGCCAGGCATGGTGGCTCATGCTTATAGTCCTAGCTACTTGGGGGACTGAGACAGGACAATCACTTGGGCCCAGGAAGTCTAGGCTGCAGTGAGCTATGATCACGCCACTACACTCCAGCCTGGGTTGACAGAGTGAGACCCTGGCTCTAAAAAATAAATAAATAAATAATAAATAACTAAAGGTGTTCAGAGCTTGGGGACTGTGGCCTAAGCACCACTTCCTATATCAGTTGAAAATTGCTGTGTTAAAAAACCACCCACAAATTGAGGGGCTTGAAAAATCAATGGTTTATTATTCCCCACAAGTCCATGGGTTCCTGGGTGGATATTTGCTAGTCTAACCTGGCTCTGCGAATTATAGTTCGGTGTTAGGTGGAGCAACTGGCTGGAAGAGGATGGCCTCACTCACATGGCTGGTGTTAGCTTGGGCTGTCGACTGGGCTTCCCCTCCGTGGGGGCCCTCTTCCTTCACTAGGTTAGACCTGGCTTCTTAAAGCAAATGGTCTCAGGGCAACAGGAGAGTAAGTGCAGAAGCTGCAGGGCTCCTTGAGGCCCATACCACTTCCCCCACATTCTATTGGTCAAAGCAAGTCACGTGGCCAAGCCCATGTGAGAAGCGGAGAAATCAACTTCACCTCAACGTGAAAGGAGCAGCAAAGTCACATTGCAAAATGGGCGTGCACACAGGGAGGAGTGATCGTGGCCATCTTTGCAATCAGTCAGCACTAAGAAATCTCCCATCGGGTCCTGGCCTTCCAGGTTCCCTTGGTGACCCAGAGTAACCCCTTCTCGTTAGACTCCCTGACCCTCACCTCCGTGCTCATCCCACCAGGTGGCCTGGCTGCTGTGATCTACACGGATGCCCTGCAGACGCTGATCATGCTTATAGGAGCGCTCACCTTGATGGGCTACAGTAAGTGGGGTCCCCGGGTCACTGGGGCGGACAACAGCACCTCTCTCCAGCAGGGATATCTGCTCTCCACACTGTGAACGGCAAACCTAGCTGTCAAAGAGCATACTACTGGGGAATTTTTTGTCACAGGTGCTTTGCTTGAGGCACGGTTATTTTAGCTAGAAGAGAAATGTGCTTATTGTGGAAACTTACTGTTTTTGTTTTTGTTTTTTGTTCTGAGGCAGGATCTTGCTCTGTCAGTCAGGCTGGAGTGCAGTGCTGTGATGATTGCTCACTGCAGCCTTGAGCCCCTGGGCTCAAGTGACTCTCTCACCTCAGCCTCCTGAGTAGCTGGGACTACAGACATAGGCCACTATGTCGAGCTAATTGCTTTTTTATTTTGTTTTTTTTTTTTTTTTTTGTAGAGATAGAGTCTCACTATGTTGCCCAGGCTGATCTCAAACTCCTGGCCTCAAGTGATTCTCCTGCCTCAGCCTCCCCAAGCTGCCCCACCTGGCACTGTTTTTTTTTTTTTCAAGTAAAAATCTCTTTCTATACTAATATGGAAAAATAACTGAATGAATAAATAAAAGAATGTGAAGAGACAGCTTTTCCTTACAGAGGTTTTTGTTGTTGTTTGTTTGTTTCGAGACAGGGTATCACTCTGCCACCCAGGCTGAAGTGCAGTGACACAGTCTTGGCTCACTGCAACCTCTGCCTCCTGGGCTCAAGCAATCCTCCCGCCTCAGCCTCCCAAGTAGCTGGGCCCACAGGTGTGCACCACCATCCCTGGCTAATTTTTTTCATTTTTTTAAATAGATGGGGTTTCGTCATGTTGCCCAGGCTGGTTTCAAACACCTGGGCTCAAGCAATCACCTGCCTCGGCCTCCCAAAGTGCTGAAATTACAAGCGTGAGCCACTGCATCCAGCCCAGAAGCTTTAAACTCTAGCACTAGCCCACACCTAGACTTTAGCATTTCATTTCAAAATATTCGCCCAATTCTTCGTACCAGCTTGTGTGGTGATCCTGTCTTTGTTTTGCTGCCAACGGTCATGTCTCTTTGGAGGCTCCTGTGTTTTCTGAGATCTCAGGCCAGTTGGTTGCTCTATGGCCTCAGCTCTCTGATAGGTTCAGGGGAAGTTATTTTGTTGATTAGCCAACTTCTTATTATTGTTAAGCGGGGGACACTACTCTCCACAGGTTTCTATCTTTTAGAGGTAAGCCACTCATTAAGCCTTAAAGACTACAACAAAGGCCGAGTGTGGTGGCTCACACCTGTAATCCCAGCACTTTGGGAGGCCAAAGCAAGAGGATCGCTTGAGCTCAGGAGTTTGAGACCAGCCTGAGCAACATAGTGAGACTGTCTCTACAAAAAATAAACATAAACTTACCCAGGTTTGGTGGCATGTGCCTGTAGTCCCAGCTACCTGACAGGCTGAGGTGGGAGGATGGCTTGAGCCTGGCAGGTTGAGTCTGCGGTGAGCTGAGATTGTGCCACTGCACTCCGGCCTGGTCTCGCTTTGAGACAGAGTGAGACCCTGTCTCAAAAAAAAAAAAAAAAAAAAAAAAAGGCTATGAAAACTAATATAGAAAACACAGAAAAGCGAAAGGGATCAAAATCCTGAAAGATGGCAGAATATAGTGCTGAAAATTATATATTTTAGGACTCAGAAGAAAATATCAAGAGAGTGCCATGCTTGGAATCCTGAACTCTATGAAACATGTATGAAAGATAGAAGTAGAGGACAAACTGAGGTGAAGGGAGAATAGAAGCGGATAAAAAGGAAAAAGATTACAGAAGATTACAATACATTTTCTAAAATTTTCTAAAAAAATTAGCAGAATTAAACTCCCCACAGGTGGATGTAAAGAGCAGAACAAACGCTAAAGAAAATCAAACCCAGGATGAAAACAAATAGGAGTTCTTTTTTTTTTTTTTTTGAGATGAAGTCTCGCTCTGTCACCCAGGCTGGAGTGCAGTGGCATGATCTTGGCTCACTGCAACCTCCACCTCCCGGGTTCAAGCGATTCTCCTGCCTCAGCCTCCCAAGTAGCTGGGACTACGGACACACGCCACCATGCCCAGCTAATTTTTGTATTTTTAGTAGGGACGGGGTTTCACCATCTTCACCAGGATGGTCTCCATCTCTTGACCTCATCTTCTGCCCGCCTTGGCCTCCCAAAGTGCTGGGATTATAGGCATGAGCCACCACGCCCGGCTGAAAACAAACAGGAGTTCTAATAAAATGCAGAGAAAAGGGATAAATAATAAAATTATAAAAGAAAAGATGACAAATATAGAAGATAGAGAGCAGAGATATACCATTTGAGAAATGTTTATTCTTTTTCTTTCTTTCTGTTTTTGCTTTTTGAGAAATGTTTATTCTTAGAAAAAAGGTCAGAAAAAAATGGAACAAAGTAAATAATTAAAGTAATCACAAAAGAAAACTTTTCTTAGAAGGAGGATGATATATCTAGCTAGGTGTGAAGGGTTTGCTGTGTCTTAGGCAAAATCGATGAACAAGATCTCCAGGTAGAAGAAGCATTATGAAAAAAATGTGAAGTATAAGAATACTTTTTAAATACTAAAGAATACAGACAGAGAGGTGGGAAGATCATTTGAGGCCAGTAGCTTGAAACCAGCCTGGACAACAAAGCAAGACCCCACTCTATGAAAAATGGAAAATTAGCTGGATGTGGTGGTGCACACCTGTGGTCTCAGGTGGGGACTGGAGGATCAGGGAGGTTAAGGAGGTTGAGGCAGGAGGATCACTTGAGTCCAGGTGCTCGAGGCTGCAGTGAGCTATTATTGCACCACTGCACCCCAGCCTGGGTGACAGGGTGAGACTCTGTATATAAGAAAAAAAGAATCCAGACAGAAAAAATGTAGTGAGCTAAAAATAATAAACAAACTGGTCTCATTCCCCTCCTTCATAACAATAAAATGCCAAAAGACAGTGGAGCAAGGGCTACAGATGTGTTTTATGGGAAAAGTTGTATCCTAAGTAAGGATCAGATACCAGCCAAGTTCTCTGTTTGCCAGGGCTGCAGAAATATTCTGAACCATGCAAAGACTTAGTAAAGGGAGGACCTATGTGCCTGTCTTGAAGGTACAAGACAGAAACAAAACAAAATCGAGAGTTGGTATTATGACTAAAGAGAAAATGGTAGTAAATAATGATCCAGTTAAAATCATTACAGATCTGAAAAAATTGTGTGGTCAAGGCAAACGTTACATAAAGAATATAACAATTTAATAAAAATTGGATCTAAAGCCCCCTATTTTACTAACAAAAACTTTAAAATGTTGGGAGAGATAGTATGCTAGATTTCCCATCAAATAGGAAGAAAAACATCATGAAGAAGAAATACTGAACTCCAAGCAGACACTCATATAAATCTCACCCTTTATGTAGGAAATATGTGTGCATATAAGTTTTTTTTTCCTAAAAGAGAATAACAAGAAATCACAACCAAAGGGAAAGAATAAAAGAGAATGCAAAGTAATAGTAAAAATATCAGTTATTACAATACAAGTACATGGAATAAAATTCCCTATTGAAAGACAAGGCTTCTTATAAGCAGTTACAATCTGTGTGGCTGTTTGTTCTGTTTTTCTCTTCCTTAGCTATATATTATTTATTTTCTCAACAAAACTCAAGATTTATATTTTGGGTTAAGAAAATGTAACTTGATATAATTTGCAAGTGGCACATATAAAACAAAGTATAACATAAGGCAAAAAGCGATAAACGGGGGATAAGTAATTTTATATTGAAAATAGAAAATTCATAATAAAGAGATAATCTTTGCTTATTAAATAACATTGCAACAAGATACACAAAGCAGAAGCTGTTATAGGTTGACAGAAACCAAAACAGTACTAAAATAGTTTAACAGAACAAGAACATAATAAGGATTTAGAAGATATAAATTCTACAAATGAATAAGCGTTCTCCTATCATGAATGTATCTTTTTCCAGCATTCATGGAATCACCCGCAAAAATTAATCATTGAAAAAAATTTTTTACAAAAATATGTATAAAAGCGTTGTTCAGATTATATTATCTTACTCATATACACCCCAAAAATTAAACTCATTAGGAAAAGTGTAAATTTTTAAAAAATCTAGTTACTTAGAAATTTAATAGCCATCTTCTAAATAGTGCCTGGGTCACAAAGGAAGTAAAAGCTGCAATTACAGACTATGCAGAGAAAAATGAGAACATTACATTTCATACTTAATACAGTCAAAGCTGTACCTCTATCAAAACATTTATATTCATAAATATGAAAGCCCAATTTAGTGATTTAGAAAAAAGAAGATGACATTATGGGTTACTCCAGTTACTCCAGTATCTATTTCTTTTTTTTTTTTTTTTTTTTTTTTGAGATGGACTCTTGCTCTGTCACCAAGCTAGAGTACAGTGGCACAATCTCAGCTCACTGCAACCTCCACCTCTTGGGTTCAAGTGATTCTCCTGCCTCAGCCTCCCAAGTAGCTGGGACTACAGGCTCGCGCCACCACATCCAGCTTATTTTTGTATTTTTAGTAGAGATGGGGTTTCACCATGTTGGCCAGGCTGGTCTCAAACTCCTGACCTCAGGCGATCTGCCCACTTTGGCCTCCCAAAGTGCTGGGATTACAGGTGTGAGCCACCGTGCCTGTCCTTTTTTTTTTTTTTTTTTTTTTTTTTTTTCTGAGACGGAGTCTGGCTCTGTTGCCCAGGCTGGCATGCAGTGGTGTGATCTTGGCTCACTGCAACCTCCACCTCCCGGGTTCAAGCAATTCTCCTGCCTCAGCCTCCTGAGTAACTGGGACTACAGGCATGCATCACCATGCCTGGTTAATTTTTCTATTTTTAGTAGAGACAGGGTTTCCCCATGTGGGCCAGGCTGGTCTTGAATTCCTGACCTAAGGTGATGCACCCGCGTTGGCCTCCCAAAGTGCTGGGATTACAGGCGTGAGCCACCTGGCCCGGCCCAATATCTATTTCTTTGAAAAGAACCATAAAATGCAGCTGCAAATCAAACCAAGAAAAAAAGAGAAAACAGCATAATTAAGAATGAGAAAAGAAACAAAATATAAGCCATATGCGGTGGCTCATGCCTGTAATCCTAGAACTTTGGGAGGCTGAGGCAGGAGAATTGCTTGAGCCTAGGAGTTCGAGACCAGCCTGGGCAACATAGTGAGATCCATCTCTACAAAAAACTTTAAAAGTCACTGGATGTGGTGGTACATGCCTGTAGTCTTAACTACTCTGGAGGTTGAGGCAGGAGGATAGCTTGAGCCCAGGAGTTCAAGGTTACAGTGAGCTATGATTGTAGCACTACACTCCAGCCTGGGTGACAGAGTGAGACCCTGTCTCTAAGAACAAAACAAAACAACAAAACCTGAAACCATTATTAGACCTACTACAAGGTCTTACAATTTTTTTTTTTTTTTTTTTTTTTTTTTGAGATGGAGTCTCGCTCTGTCACGCAGGCTGGAATGCAGTGGCGCAATCTTGCCTCACTGCAACCTCTACCTCCAGGAGACGTTCTCCTGCCTCAACCTCCTGAGCAGCTGGGATTACAGGCACCCACCACCACGCCTGGCTAATTTTTGTATTTTTAGTAGAGACAGGGTTTCACCATGTGGGCCAGGTTGGTCTCGAACTCCTGACCTCAGGCGATTCGCCCACCTCGGCCTCCCAAAGTGCTAGTATTACAGGTGTGAGCCACTGTGCCTGGCCAGTCTTACAATTTAATGGAGCAAATAAATAAATTACTATGTCACATTTTTAATATTTTGATGGTTCAATATATTTGATTTCTTTGCAATCCTATGTATTTTTGCATTATTTAGAAGTATTCTTCTGAGAAGCAATTGTAGGAGCGAAGGGAAGACTGGAAATCTCACTGGAAAATCAACCCACAAGAGGCAGATTAATAGAAGAAAAGGCATACAAATTTATTAGCACACACAGGGGAGAATTACAGAGGGATTTCTCAATATCCTAATGTCATACAGATGTTTCTATACCGCACTTCTTAAGGAAAAAGGAGATGGACAAGTGTAGATGATTTTAGGGAGGTAGTAAATTATTTTTGGGAGAATTCAATGGGCTTAAATAACATACAATGGCATGGGACAATGGCCAGGAGTATCACTTGAGGTCAGGAGTTCGAGACCAGCCTGGCCAACGTGGTGAAACCCCATCTCTACTAAAAGTACAAAAATTGGCCAGGCATGGTGGCACATGCCTGTAATCCCAGCTACTCAGGAGGCTGAAGCAGGAGAATCGTTTGAACCTGGGAGGCGGAGGTGGCAGTGAGCCAAGATCATGCTACTACACTCCAGCCTTGGTGACAGAGCAAGACTTCATATCAAAAAAAAAAAAAAAAAAAAAAAAAAAAAAAAGAAGGAAGGAAGGAAAGAAAGGAAGGAAGAAAGAAAGAAAGAAAAAAGAAACTTGGATAGATACATTCATTACTTTGTGACGGAGGTTTCATGGGTGAATACTTATGTCAAACACCAAATTTTACATTTTACATATTTGTAATTTATGGTTAGGTCAATTATAGTCCAATAAAACTCTAATATTAATTTTTTTAAGTTAAAAAAATGTGGGGAGGAGGTTAAGAACCCTTAAGGGGATTAACATTTTTGGTGGCTCTGGTCCTACTAGAATTTCACCAGTCTCCAGCCATCTCCTCATCACTTGCCATGGACCAATCTGAGTTCCCGGAAAATAGGCTTCCTCTGAATTCTAGGTTTCGCCGCGGTTGGTGGGATGGAAGGACTGAAGGAGAAGTACTTCTTGGCCCTGGCTAGCAACCGGAGTGAGAACAGCAGCTGCGGGCTGCCCCGGGAAGATGCCTTCCATATTTTCCGAGATCCGCTGACATCTGATCTCCCGTGGCCGGGGGTCCTATTTGGAATGTCCATCCCATCCCTCTGGTACTGGTGCACGGATCAGGTACAGGACAGTGGCCTGAGCAAGTTTTTCCTTCTCTTTGCTTCTTTCCTTAGGGTGGCTGAAGTCGGTGCTTTTTTCTTCCTCCATCTCTTCTCTCATTTGCGTTTTCCCTGCTTCCTTGACTACTTCCTCCTTTCCATTGCTCTACATGCTATTTTATTTCTTCCTCTGTGAATGGGAATGACAAATCCAAAGCTGCTGATATTTGCAAAGGGGAAAACTCAACACACTCTGCCTTTTTTTTTTTTTTTTTTTTCTGAGACAGGGTCTCACTCTATCACCCAGGCTGGAAGGCAGAGGCACGATCATAGCTCACAGCAGCCTTCATCTCCTGGGCTCAAGAGATCCTCCCATGTCAGCCTCCTGAGTAGCTGGGACTACAGGCACATGCCACCATGCCCAGCTATTTATTATTATTATTATTTTTTAGTAGAGATGCAGGTCTCACTACACTGACCAGGCTGCTCTCAGGCTCCTGAGTTCAAGTGATCCTCCCGCCTCAGCCTCCCAAAGTGCTGGGATTATAGGTGTGATCCACTGCAGCTGGCCTAATACACTTTGCTTAATGTATGAGAATATCCAGTAAGCAAAGGAGATGATACCTTTTAAATGGGGGTAAAACTCCTATTGGACATCATTTGTTCAACAAATACACACTGGGTGTCCTCTACGTACCAGGCACTCTTCTGGGCACTTAAAATCAGGAGCTAATAAATCAAACAAAGCTCTCTGCCCTTGTGGAGCTTCCCTTCTTCTAATGGGAGTAGACGGAGATAATAAGTAAATTATGTGAGATGTTAAAGTTTGATAAATATCATTTTAAAAAGTAGAGTGAGGTCAAGGAGATTGAGAGTGTGGGAGTGCAATTTAAAATGGGGTGACAGGTGGCTCACACACTTTAGGATGCTGAGGCAGGAGGCTCACTTGAGCCCAGGAGTTTGAGACCAACCTGGGCAACATAGTGAGACCATCTCTAAAAAAAAAAAAAAAAAAAAAGTAAAAATTAGCCAGGCACGGTGGTGTGCAGCTGGAGTCCCAGCTACTTGGGAGGCTGAGGTGGGAGGATTGCTGGAACCCAGGAGGTCAAAGCTGCAGTGAGTTGAGATTGCACCACTGCACTTCAGCCTGGGCAACAGGCTTGAGACAGTAAGATCCTGTCTCAAATAATGTAGGGTGCTGAGGGGAGGTATCATTCAGAAGTGACCTTTGACCAAAGACTTTGTAGAAGAGCGAGAGCTTCCTGTGATTTTTGGAGGAAGAGTTTGCAGCAGAAGGAACACCCAGAGCGAGGCAGATACATAACTGGTGTGAAAAAAGAAAGGAAAAAAATCAGAAAGCAGATCCATGTGTACAAGAAGTCCTTTTGTGTTAAAAAAAAAAAAAAAGGAGAATAGAATCAATATTTGCATTTGCTTATATGTCCATAAACTCTGGATGGATGTATACAAAACTAAGAAGAGTGGATACCTGTGGGCAGGGAGGCAGGGCGGGTGGGAAGGATGAATGAGAGCCGATTTACTGCATGTTATATTTTCTCGGGTTTTAAACTGAGTGAATATATCACGTGTTCAAATATTATTTTTCTGGTACATGAAACATCAGAGATCAATGTACCACTTGGGGAGTTATACTGCATAGTGAGGGCTGATGACAGTTTAATTAAAGCAATAATCATGGCATTGGACATTGATTTGATGCAGGAGACTTCAGAGAATGAAACCCAGGTCTCATCCATAGGCCAGCCCTCCTTTGAGCGGAGAGCTAAGGACCAAGGCAGTGATGAGAGCAATGCACATGTACTGCCCCATTAAGAGAGAGACCCCCTTCTCCTCCTTAGCACATCTCAGGTAGGAGAGACCTTGAGAAACAGGACTGATCCGGGCTAACATCATGGGCTTTAAATTTAACAGACCTGGCTGGGTGCGGTGGCTCATGCCTGTAATCCCAACACTTTGAGAGGTCAAGGCGGGTGGATCACCTGAAGTCAGGAGTTTGAGACCAGCCTGGCCAACATGGCAAAACCCTGTCTCTACTAAAAATACAAAAAAAAAAAAAAAAAAAAAAAAAGCCAGGTGTGGTGGCAGGCACCTGTAATCCCAGCTACTCAGGAGGCTGAGGCAAGAGAATCACTTGAACCCGGGAGGTGGAGTTTGCAGTGAGCCGAGATCATGCCATTGCACTCCAGCCTGGGCAGCAAAGTGAGACTCCATCTCAAAAAATTAATTAATTAATTAATTAATTATGCCGGGCACAGTGACTCATGCCTGTAATTCCAGCCTGGGCAACAGCAACACTCTGTCTCAAAAACAAACAAAACGAAACAAAAAAAGACAGTTGACCCATTCTGCCACCAGGAAAAAGCCGTTTGTAAAAACCAGCCAGAGACAATTTCACCTGCCCAGGTATTCCCCCAAGACCATCTTCCTCCTTCCTTTATTGAACCAATGTTTACTGTTTTCAGGTTTCTGAACTTCTTTTTTATTATTTTTATTATTTATTATTATTTTTAGTTTTGAGACAGAGTCTCGCTCTGTTGCCCAGGCTGGAGTAAAGTAGTGCAATCTCGGCTCACTGCAACCTCTGCCTCCTGGGTTCCGGCAATTCTCATGCCTCAGCCTCCTGAGTAGCTGGGACTATAGGCGTGCACCACTATGCCCAGCTAATTTTTGGTATTTTTTGTAGAGATAGGGTTTCGCTATGTTGGCCAGGCTAGTCTTGAACTCCTGACCTCAAGTGATCCACCCACCTCGGCCTCCCAAACTGCTGGGATTACAGGCGTGAGCCACTGCACCCAGCCAGATTTCTGAACTTCTGACCTACAGCTCTCTGATCCAGTTTCCACTATCTAATCCTACTCTCATCTATTTCTATTTCGTTGACCTGTTGGAACTTCTTTCTCTGGTTTCATCTAACAATAGCAGTGATGATGACAATGCCAATAATCACAACTGCTCTCTTTGCTAAAGAGCTGCTAGACACCTGAAAAGCAAGCACAGTTATCATCCCCATTTTACAGATGAGAGAGCTGAGCCTGGAAAGGTTAAGGAACTCATCCAAACTCACAAAGAGCTGGTGGGGGGATTCACACCTAAGTCCGTCTGCACTTTAAATCGCTCCATTGACTCATTGCACCACACCTATTGGATGCTCTCAATTCTGGGAACCCACCCCCAGCTGCATTTCTGTGCAGATGCCTGCTCCCTGGTCACCATGCTCCACCATGACAGCTCTCCCTCCTCCTTTCCCACCCCAAGGAAGGGAAAATTTATACATGATTAATGTGGAAAAAGCAAGGAAAGATAAGGTGGCTAGATGACAGATGCCATAACAGATGGCTGACATAGCTAATCATGGCCCCTCCTCCCCACATATTCAGGTTGCATTTTCATTCCTCTTAGCTCACTTTTTCCCCTGCAACTGAGATGTTTCTTACTAAGAACCACTTGGCTGGGCACAGTGGTTCACGCCTGTAATCCCAGCACTTTGGGAGGCTGAGGCGGGCGGATCACGAGGTCAGGAGATCAAGACCATCCTGGCTAACACAGTGAAACCCCGTCTCTACTAAAAATACAAAAAATTAATTGGGCATGGTGGTGGGCACCTGTAGTCCCAGCTACTTGGAAGGCTGAGGCAAGAGAATAGCTGAACCCGGGAGGCGGAGCTTGCAGTGAACCCGGATCGCGCCACTGCACTCCAGCCTGGGTGACAGAGCGAGACTCCGTCCCAAAAAACAAACAAACAAACAAACAAAAAGGAACCACTTGGCTGGGCACAGTGGCTCACACCTGTAATCCCCGCACTTTGGGAGGCTGTGAGAAGACGATTGCTTGAGCCCAGGGATTTGAAACCAGTGGGTAACATAGCGAGACCTCATCTCTACAAAAAAATTTAAAAAATATTAATAGCTGGGTGTGGTGGTGTATGCCTGTGGTCCCAGCTACTTGGGATGCTGAGGTGGGAGGATCACTTTAGCTCTGGAGTTCAAGGCTGCAGTCAGCCATGATTGCACCACTGCACTCCAATCTGGGTGATAGAGTGAGATCCTGCCTCAGAAAAAAAGAAAGAAAGAAAAAAAAAAGAACCATCCGACTACTCTCCCTTTTAGGATCTGATGGTTACAGAAAACAGACCCGGCTGGGTGTGGCAGCTCATGCCTGTAATCCCGGCAAGTTAGGAGGCTGAGGTGGGTGGATCACTTAAGGTCAGGAGTTTGAGACCAGCCTGGCCAACATGGTGAAACCCCATCTCTACTAAAAATACAAAAATTAGCCGGGCATGGTGGCAGGATCCTGTAATCCCAGCTACTTGGGAGGCTGAGGCAGGAGAATTGCTTGAACCCAGGAGGTGGAGGCTGCAGTGAGCAGAGATCCCAGCACTGTACTCCAACCTGGATGACAAAGCAAGACTCCATCTCAAAAAAGAAAGGAAAAGAAAAGAAAAAAAAGTAGGAAAGGAGAGGAGAGGAAAGAAGAAAGGAGAGGACAGGAGAGGGGAGGGGAAGGGAGGGAAGGGAAAAGGAGGGGAGGGGAGGGGAAGGTGGGGGAGGGAAGGGACCCCTCAGTTGGACAGCCAGCTTGTGACCGGAGCTTTTTTGAATTCTGACCGGCTGAATGTGCTGTGTCCAGTGGGCATGAGTACCTGTCCTTGAAACGTGTCCACCAAGCCCGGTTTGTGTCACTGCTAATGCAGTTAGGTCATTAACAAAAACTGCATATTTCACACTGTCCTTGAGCACATTGATGCCTTCGGGCAACTGTCTCTGACAAGGTACAGTCCCATGGACTCTGCAGATGAAATACCGCCCAAGGTGACATCTCTCTCCCCATCAAAATGTGCTGTGAAATCTAAATTATTGGGGCTGTGGTATGGGGTTTGCAGCAAGTCTTAACCTCACTACACTCTTCTCATTAAGGGTTCTTTGATGATTTAGTGAGGACTCATTTAGTTGTTTATGTGGAAAAAATTGTTTAAGGATAAAAAGGCTCTTTTTTTTTTTTTTCTGGGCGTGGTGGCTCACGCCTATAATCACAGCACTTTGGGAGGCTGAGGCAGGAGGGTTGTTTGACATCAGGAGTTGGAGACCAGCCTGGGCAACATAGTGAGAGTCTGTCTCTACAAAAAATAAAATTAAACATAAAATGTAGCCAAGTGTGGTGACATTGCTACTTAGGAGGCTGAGGCAGGAGAATTGTTTGAGGCCAGGGGTTCAAGACCAGCCTCCTCAATATAGCAATATAGCAAGACCCCATCTCTAAATAAAAATTTTAAAAATTAGCTTGACATGGTTGTTCATGCCTGTTGTCTCAGCTACTTGAAAGACTGAGGCAGGAGGATCATTTGAGCCCAGGACTTTGGGGCTACAGTGAGCTGTGATCACATCATTGCATTTCAGCCTGGGCAACAGAGTGAGACCCCATCTCTTAAAAAAAAAAGGCATTTTAAAAAATTTACATGATGGGGAGTCCAGAGGTGGCTAATGGCAATGGAAGCAACTAATATTTATGAAGCAGTTACTATGTGTCATATTCTAAGTATTCTAAGTACTTTCACTTCTCTAATTGTCAAAACTGGGCTGGTACTATGCTCATTTCATAGATGAGGAATCAGAGGCCAAGAGAGGTGAAGTTGCTTGCCCAAGGTCAGATAGGCGGGAAGTGGGGAGGTAGTATTTGAACCCAGACTGCCTGTCTCTGATACTACATCATCACACATTGCCTTTCTCTCCATTTCCTGGTTTTCTTTCCTCTGTGATGACTTAGTTTCAAAGAGGCCTTCCCATATCATGGCAGAGATGCAGCCAGCAGCTCTACACTACCTTCACAGTTAGGAATTGCGAAGGAGGCACCAGGAGTTAGACAACCTCCTTCCTTTTTTTTTTTTTTTTTTTTTTTTTTTTGAGACAGAGTCTCACTCTATCGCCCAGGCTGAAGTGCAGTGGTGCGATCTTGGCTCACTGCACCCTCCACCTCCCGGGTTCAAGTGATTCTCCTGTCTCAGCCTCCCAAGTAGCTGGGATTACAAGTGTGCGCCAATGCACCCAGCTAATTTTTGTATTTTTTTATAGAGATAGAGTTTCACCATGTTGGCCAGGCTGGTCTTGAACTCCTGGGCCCAAGCAATCCTCCTGCTTTGGCCTCCCAAAGTGCTGGGATTACAAGCGTGAGCCATTGCACCCAGCCTCCTTTGCCTTTTTAAGGAAGAAGTTCCATGGAGAGCTGTGGTTGGATTGCCTTGGGGACATGCTTTTCCTTCATGGATCATAGTAGCCAGAGAGGTGAAATAATTCTGTGGAGGACTCTAATTGGCAAGGCGTAACCCCTGGATAAAAGAGTAAGGAGGGAATGGGGTGGGTGTCTAAACTACCTGAATTAGACCACAGGGACTGAGCATAGGAAAGAGATGTTTCTTCAAACAGAAGCTTGGCAAACCAAGATCCTAAGTCTCCTACAACTACCAAGAGGCTACACACCCCGTTTGCCTTAAGAGAAAGCCTTCTAATACAGTCTGTTCTCACACTGCTGATAAAGACATACTGAGACTGAGTAATTTATAAAGAGGTTGAATGGACTCACAGTTCCACATGGCTGGGGAGGCCTCACAATCATGGCAGAAGGCAAAGAGGAGCAAGTCACGTCTTACATGGATGGCAGCAGGCAAAGAGAGAATGAGAGCCAAGTGAAAGGGGTTTCCCCTTATAAAACCATCAGATCTCATGAGACATATTCACTACCATGAGAACAGTATGGAGGAAACTGCCCCCATGATTCAGTTATCTCCCACTGACTCCCTCCCACAACATGTGGGAATTATGGGAGCTACAATTCAAGATGAGATTTGGGTGGGGACACAACCAAACTATATCAGCATTCCCAGTTTCCAACCCCCTTGATCTTTTCCAGGTGATTGTCCAGCGGACTCTGGCTGCCAAGAACCTGTCCCATGCCAAAGGAGGTGCTCTGATGGCTGCATACCTGAAGGTGCTGCCCCTCTTCATAATGGTGTTCCCTGGGATGGTCAGCCGCATCCTCTTCCCAGGTGAGAACACAGCTGGGGGAAGAGGTCATTGGTATGTGAGTCTCAGACCATGTGAATTATTCTAAACATATTATTAGAAGCCTCAAGAGAATGTGACTACAGTCCTTTCTCTCTTTTTCTAAGACAGAGTCTCATTCTGTCATTCAGGTTGGAGTGCAGTGGTATGGTCATAGCTCACTGTAACCTTGAACTACTGGGCTTGAGCAATCCTCCCACCTCAGCCTCCTGAGTAGCTGGGGCTACAGGTATGCACCATGATGCCTGGCTAATTTTTTGAAAAAATAGAGATGCTGTCTTGCTATGTTGCTCAGGCTGGTCTTGAACTCCTGGCCTCAAGCTATCCTCCTGCCTTGGCCTCTCAAAGTGCTGAGATTGCAGGTGTGAGCCAACATGCCCAGTCCTTTTTTTTTTTTTGCATTTTTTTTTTGAGACGGAGTCTTGCACTGTCGCCCAGGCTGGAGTGCAGTGGCACGATCTTGGCTCACTGCAAGCTCTGCCTCCTGGGTTCACGCCATTCTCCTGCCTCAGCCTCCTGAGTAGCTGGGACTACAGGTGCCCGTCACCATGCCCAGCTAATTTTTTGCACTTTTAGTAGAGACAGGGTTTCACCATGTTAGCCAGGATGGTCTCGATCTCCTGACCTCGTGATCCACCCACCTTGGCCTCCCAAAGTGCTGGGATTACAGGCGTAAGCCACCATGCCTGGCCTTTTTTGCATTTTTTTAAAGACAGGGTCTCACTTTGTCACCTAGGCTGGAGTACAGTGACATGATCATAGCTCACTGCAGCCTCAGACTTCTGGGCTGAAGGGATCCTTTCGCCTCAGCCTCCCAAGTAGCTGAGACTACAGGCATGCACTACCACACCTGGCTATTTTTCAAAAGTTTTTGTAAAGACAGGGTCTCACTATGTTACCCAGGCTGATCTCAAACTCCAGGCCTCAAGCGATCCTCCTGCCTTGACCTCCCTAAATTCTGGGATTACAGGCATGAGCCACCATGCCTGGCCATAGAGTCCTTTCCTAGTGATGAGACTGAGGCATCTCTGTCTAGGCATCTAGTGACTCTATGCTGTTTCTCAACATTGGTTCAATGGGCAAGTCCTATAGGTATCCCAGGCCAAATTGAGTGGAGACTCAACTGGGATCTTGCCTCAACTATATTTTTTTGAAACCAACTAGGCTAAGGTCTTGTGGTTCCAGAGCAGTTCTCTGAAGTCTCATGTGAAAGTTTGTCCCTTACTTTAGTGTTTGAGCTCAGTGGTTGGGTTGGGTAACTTTGGCCCAGTGAAATCCTTTTTGGATTTTTTTTTTTTTGACAGAGTCTCACTCTGTTGCCAGGCTGGAGTGCAGTGGCACAATCTCAGCTCACTGCAACCTCTGCCTCTTGGGTTCAAGTGATTCTCATGCCTCAGCCTCCCAAGTAGCTGGGACTACAGGCATGCACCACCATGCCCGGCTAATTTTTGTATTTTTAGCAGAGATGGGGTTTCACCATGTTGGCCAGGATGGTCTCGATCTCTTGACCTTGTGATCCTCCCACCTTGGCCTCCCAAAGTGTTGGGATTACAGGCGTGAGCCACCACAGCTGGCCTGCGGTACTTTTTCTTTTTTTTAGGTGGGTCTCACTCTGTCACCCAGGCTGGAGTGCAGTGGCATGATTATAGCTCACTGCAGCCTGGAGCTCTCAGGCTCAAGCAATTCTCCCACCTCAGTCTCCTTAGTAGCTGGACTACGGGTGCCCACCACCATGCCCAGCTGATTTTTATAATTTTTGTAGCTATGGGGGTCTCACTGTGTTGCCCAGGCTAGTCTTGAACTCCTGGGCTCAAGCAGTCCACCCACTTCAGCCTCCCAAAGTGCTGGGATTACGGTGTGAGCCATTGTGCCCAGCTGGGTGTACTTTTCTTAACAAATCTCATGGGATATCGAGGCCTCTAGAGCATTTGCTTTAGTTTTTTTCTTAATGTGGTAAGGGAATAGGTTTATACCATGGGGATAAATGATACCGAGGAGGGGCAATGTCACCAGAAGACACTGTGGTGTCAGAAACTGGTGATCTATACAGAAGAAAGCTCCTCTCTTTTCCCCTGAAACAGTGAGCTTTCCAGTGTACTCACCAAGGATGTTATTAACTAAAGGGGATGGAAAGCAGAAAGTTTCCTCCCCTGTGCCTTATCCTACATAATGTTACACAGAAGCTAAGAAAGGGTAGGATGAAGTGGTTTGTAGTTGGCTCAGAAGCTTAGTCAAAATAATTTAGGACCCTTAAGAAGCAGGAGAAAAGAGATGGGGAAGGCAAATGGGGGCACTGTCCATGGTGCTAGACCTTGAACCCTTGTGTTCCTCCAGCCCTGGTGGGATGAGGAACCCACAAATAGTCCCTAGTCCTGCTTCCAGGAAAGGGCAAAAGCCTTGGGAAGATCCAGAGGGAGTTAAGAACTGGGATCTGGGTTTTGCAGTGATTTGGAAAATATACAGCTGTTCAGCAAGTCTTGACATAGGAACACAGAAATAGCTTCAGGCCAGGTGCAGTGGCTCACGCCTGTAATCCCAGCACTTTGGCAGGCTGAGGCAGGAGGATCTCTTGAGGCCAAGAGTTCAAGACCATCGTGGGTAACGATACCAGACCCGCTCTCTACCAAAAACAATTTTTAAAAATTAGCCAGGTGTGGTGGTGCTCACCTGTGGTTCCAGCTACTTGGGAAACTGAGGCAGGAGAATTGCTTGAGCCCAGGAGGTTGAGGCTGCAGTGAGCTATTATTACACCACTGCATTCTAGCCTGGACAACATAGCAAGACCCTATCTCTAAAAAAAAAAAAAAAAAAAAAGGAAAGAATATGGCTTCAAACAACCACATTCATTGTGCACTTGCTAAGGGTCAGTCCCTATGAAAAGAGCTTCAGAGTGGAGTGTGGATATGAATATGGATTCTGATCTGGAAGGCCCAGGCCTGAATTTGCTCTGCCGCTTATGAGGTGTTTGAACTTGCATAAGCCATTTAATGTCTCTTTGCTTCGTTTCCTCACTTGTAAAATGGGGGTAA
The DNA here is from genome assembly GCF_000001405.40 of Homo sapiens. NCBI lineage: Eukaryota > Metazoa > Chordata > Mammalia > Primates > Hominidae > Homo > Homo sapiens. The sequence goes on from NW_021160019.1 coordinate 154,638, forward strand.
TATTTTACAAGGCTTAAAGCAGCTCCTGGCACACAGTAAGCTCTATCCAAGTGTTTACTATTATTATTTTATACATGTATTACCTCATTTCATCCTCAAAACAACCTTATATGGTAGGTACTATTATACTTTTCATCTTACAGATGAGGAAATTGAAGCTTAGAGAAATTATTCATTTGGCCAGGAGCAATGGCTCACACCTATAATCCCAGAAATTTGGGAGGCCAAGGCAGGCAGATCGCTCGAGCTCAGCAGTTTGAGACCAGCCTGGGCAACGTGATGAAACCTCGTATCTACAAAAAATACAAAAATTAGCCAGGCATGGTGGCATGTGCTTATAGTCCCAGCTACTTGGGAGGCTGAGGTGGGAGGATCGCTTGAGCCTGGGAGGTTGAGGCTGCAGTGAGCCATGATCAGTGCACTCCAGCCTGGGTGACAAAGTGAGACCTTGTTTAAAAAAAATCATTCATTCACTCATTTATTTATTCTTCCATGAATTCAACAAATATTTTGAGAGCCAATTATCTTCCAAGCGTTATTCTAGAACACTCTGGGGGCCCATAAGTGAACAAGACTACAGGATCCTTGCTGTAGAGGGACTTACATCCTAGTGGTGGAGGACAAAGACAGAAATAAGTAAATAAATAAGGCCAGGTGCAGTGGCTCACGCCTGTAATCCCAGCTCTTTGGGAGGCCAAGGCAGGAAGATCGCTTGAGCCCAGGAGTTTGAGACCAGCCTGGGCAACATGGCAAGATCCCATCTCTGGAAAAAAAAATACACACACACACACACACACACACACGCACACACACACACACACACACACATATATAGTAGTCCCAGCTACTCAGGAGGCTGAAGTGGGAGAATCACTTGAGCCTGGGAGGTCGAGGCTGCAGTGAGCTGTGTTCGAGCCACTGCATTCCAGACTGGGTGACAAAGTGAGACTGTGTCTCAGAAAAGAGTAAAAACATAAATAATTTTTGACTGTGCTAAATGCCAGGAGGAGGATGCACAAGGAGATATCAAAAAGAATGTCAGATCAGAGCTACTTCTGACAAGGTTTCCCGGGAAGTCCTTTCTGAGGAGGCAACAGTTGACCCATGCAATGGTTTGAAAGTACATCATAGAGCCAATCAGATTAATAATGGATTGAATGTAAAGGTTAAGGGGGAAAAAAAAAAGGAATCCAGGATCACTCCTAAGCTAAGTGACTTTCTGGGAGTTACTGAGCTAGTGCCAGATGAGCCAGGATTTGAATCCAGATGTAGCTGATTCTAAAACTTGACTCTTGTTTATGCAAATTATGCCTGAAGACCTGGGTTGATATATGGAAGATCAATAACAAGACCTTGACCATCTGTCTTAACAACCAATCAGCCAATCAAGTCTTTTTTTTTTTTTTTTTTGAGACGGTGTTTTGCTCATGTTGCCCAGGCTGGAGTGCAATGGTGCGATCTCCACTCACTGCAACCTCTGCCTCCTGGGTTGAAGCGATTCTCCTGCCTCAGCCTCCTGGGATTACAGGCATGCGCCACCAACCCCGGTTAATTTCATATTTTTAGTAGAGATGGGGTTTCTCCGTGTTGGTCAGGCTGGTCTCAAACTCTTGACCTCAGGTGATCTGCCCATCTCGGCCTCCCAAAGTGTCGGAATTACAGGCGTGGGCCACCGTGTCCAGCCAACAGTCATTATTAAATGAGACATAACACCATGTTCCATGAACCTAGGACTTTGTAATGTAGCAGATGAGTCTCATACTCATGGAAAAATAACATAAACTATATATTGAAATACTCTATCATATGATACAAGCAAGAGGTGCAAAATAAATTTTAGAGAGTAAGGTGAATTAGAGAGAGTGAAGTGGGCATTGTGTATTTGAAGTCTCTCTCCCTTCTCTGGAGGCCCAGACCAGTGCTTTTCAGAGTGTGGTCCCCAGCCCAGCAGTGGCTCCTGGGAACTTGTTAGAAGTGCAAACTTTCAGTCCCGATTCAAAACCTTCTGAATCAGAATCCCTGGAGGGACATCTGTTTTTTTTTTTTCTCTTATTATTTTTAACTAATTATTTTAATACAAATTGTACATACTTATAAGGTGCAGTGTGATATTTTGATACATTATACAATGTGTAATGACCACATCAGTGTAATTAGCTTATCTATCACCTCAAATATTTATCATTTCTTTGTGTTGGGGGCAATCAAAATCCACTCTCGACTATTTGAAAATGTACAATAAATTGTTGTGAATTATAGTCACCCTATAGTGCTATAGAACACTACACATTATTCCTCCTGTCTAGCTGTACTTTTCTATCCATTTACCAACCTTTGGCTACCCTCCTCCCCACTACCCTTCCCAGCCTCTAGAAACCACTATCCTACTGTCTACTTCCATGAGCTCAACTTTTCAAGCTTCCACATATGAGTGAGAGTATGCAGTATTTATCTTTCTGTGCCTGGCTTATTTCACTTAACATAATATTCTCCAAGTTCATCCACGTTGCCATGAATGAATATGAAAAAGAATTTCATTCTTTTTTATGGCTAAATAGTAGTCCACTCTGTATGTATATGTACCACATTTTCTTTACCCATTCATCTGTTGACAGACACTGAGGTTGATTCCATATGTTGGCTATTGTGAAGAGTGTTGCAATAAATGGGGTGCAGGTATCCATTTGCTATATTGATTCCAATTGCTTTGGATATGTATTAATCCATTTTCACACTGCTATGAAGATATTACCTGAGACTGGGTAATTTATAAAGGAAAGAGGTTTAATTGATTCACAGTTCCACATGGTTGGAGAGGCCTCAGGAAACTTACAGTCATGGTGGAAGGCGAAGGGGAAGCAAGGACCTTCTTCACATGGTGGCAGGAGAGAGAAGTCCAAGCTCAGAAAATGCCAGACGTTTATAAAACCATCAGATCTCATGAGAACTCACTCACTATCATGAGTACACAAGGGGGAACCACCCCCATGATCCGATCACCTCCCTCCCTCGACATGGGGGGATTACAGTTCCCTCCCTTGACATGTGGAGATTACAATTGGAGATGAGATTTGGGTGGGGACACAGAGCCAAGCCATATCAGGATATATGCCCAGTAGCAAAATTGCTGGATCATATGGTAGTTCTATTTTCAGTTTTTTGAGGAACCTCCATAGTTTTCCATACTAGCTGTAGTAATTTACATCTCCACCAACAATGTATAAGAGTTTCCCCTTCTTCACATCTTCACCAGCATTTATTATGTTTTGTCTTTTTGATGATCCCCATTCTAACTAGGGTGAGATGATATCTCATGAGGTTTTGATTTGCATTTCCTTGATGATTAGTGATGTTAAGCATTTTTTCCTGTCTGTGCCAGCCACCTATTTTTTTAACAAGTCCACTAGAAGGTTGAGAACCCCAGGTCTAAAGGGCCAGTTTCAGGGCCAAGCACTCTGCCTCCCTATTTGCACTTCTCTCTCCACCACGGCTCCACTGGCTCCCTCCTAAATCTTCAACGGAGTCCACAGCTGCCTAAAAGTATTTTCTGATCCTGAGTTCTTGTGAGCCTGGAAAAAAACCCTCTTCTGCTAAGTCCATCTGAGAAATGGCACATATTTTTATTTTTTCATTAAACTTTAAGTTCTGGGATACATGTGCAGAACGTGCAGCTTTGTTACATAGGTATACATGTGCCATGGTGGTTTGCTGCACCAATCAACCTGTCATCTAGGTTTTAAGCTCCACGTGCATTAGGTATTTGTCCTAATGCTCTCCCTCCCCTTGCCCTCCACCCCCCGACAGGCCCCAGTGTGTGATGTTCCCCTCCTTGTGTCCATGTGTTCTTATTGTTCAACTCCCACTTATGAGTGAGAACATGTGGTGTTTGGTTTTCTGTTCCTGTGTTAGTTTGCTGGGAATGATGGTTTCCAGCTTCATCCATGAGAAATGGCACATATTTTTAAATAAACTATATGGAAATTAAGAGAGAAGCAAAACAACCCTCAAAACACAATCCCAGCACTTTGGGAAGCCAAGGCGGGAGGAACACTTGAGGCCAGGAGGTCAAGACCAGCCTGGGCAACATGATGGAACCCCGTCTCTACTAAAAATACAAAAAAAAAAAAAAAAAAAAAAAAAAACCTGGGTGTGGTGGCACGCCTATAATACCAGCTACAGGCTAGGAGGCTTAGGCAGGAGAATCGCTTGAACCTGGAAGAGGAAGTTGCAGTGAGCCGAGATTGTGCCACGCACTCCAGTCTGGGCGACAGAGTGAGACTCCATCTCAAGAAAAAATAAAAATAAAAATAAAAAAATTAATTAAAGAAAAAGAAATTAGCTGGGTGTGATGGTACATGCCTGTAATTCCAGCTACTTGGGAGGCTGGAGCCTGTGAGGCTAGGGTTGCAGTGAGCCAAGATGGCACCACTGAACTCCAGCCTGGGCGACAGAGCAAGACCCCATCTCAAAAACACGCGCGCGCGCGCACACACACACACACACACACACACACACACACACACACACACAGAGTTTAGAAATGCAGTATTTACAGAGCCAATCTTCTCTACCTGAGCTTTGAAATAAACTAAGGGTTTGCCTCCTGGCCATAATACTTACTAGCAATATAATCTGGAGAAACTAACCTCTGGGCCTCAGTTTATCTGTCTTTGAAATAGGGATAATAACAGTATCTTCCCCCATAGAGTTGTGAAAATTAAATGAGGTGTATGTACAAAGCTTACTGCAGCTCCTGAGTCATAGTAAACCTTCAGTTAATGTTGGGTTTGTGGAAGAAGAAGGTTTTGTGCTATGTTTGGATTTAACTGGGCTAGAGGCATCTTATTTCAGGCATCAGAGGGTGTGAAGCATTCTGACAAGAGAATCTACGTATAGGAAATGATTCATTAACCAGGACAGGTGAGCAGATGTTACTGAACAGTGAGTTAATGATCATGGACGGATCACTTGAGGTCAGGAGTTCGAGACCAGCCTGGCCAACATGGCAAAACCCCATCTCTACTAAAAATACAAAAATTAGCCGGGCATGGTGGTGGGTGCCTGTAATCCCAGCTTCTCGGGAGGCTGAGGCAGGAGAATCACTTGAACCTGGGAAGCAGAGGTTGCAGTGAGCTGAGATCGTGCCACTGCCCTCCAGCCTGGGCGACAGAGCAAGAGGCTCCGTCTCAAAAAAAAAAAAAAAAAAGACATTATTGTAAGATTGGCCACTAGGTGTCCCAGCTTCATCTGGGTTACGATAACAATAGCTGAATTTTTTCCAGCACTTCCTATAAAGTCGTGTTATTATCCTAGTTTTACAAATAGGGCAACTCGTCTCAGAAAGCGTAAGTAACAAGGTCACAGCTTATAAAGTCTAGACTCTTTTTTATTTCATTGAGCTATAAACTTCCATATGATAAGCCTGTGTCCGGCCCCATGTTGCCTGGGCCTGGGGCTCTGGGGGCCTGACTGCTCACCTCTGGGCCTGTGTTTCCTTCGTAGATCAAGTGGCCTGTGCAGATCCAGAGATCTGCCAGAAGATCTGCAGCAACCCCTCAGGCTGTTCGGACATCGCGTATCCCAAACTCGTGCTGGAACTCCTGCCCACAGGTAATGTCCCTTCACTCCTGAATCAAGTCCCCTGGAGCACCCAGAAAGGAGATCACCGGATGGGCTCTGATCCAAGGCAGGGTCAAGAAAGGAGGGCTGGTGGGGGAGGAAGACTCTGGGCTCCCCAAGAAAGGCTACGTCCTGCAGGAAGCTCTGCCCCGCCGTCCTCCCTGAGGTTCTGCCTCCTCCAGTTGAGCCCACTGGGATCGGCTGCTTTGGCAGAAAAGGACCGAGGCCCATGACCTCCCTTCCGCCCCCAGGGCTCCGTGGGCTGATGATGGCTGTGATGGTGGCGGCTCTCATGTCCTCCCTCACCTCCATCTTTAACAGTGCCAGCACCATCTTCACCATGGACCTCTGGAATCACCTCCGGCCTCGGGCATCTGAGAAGGAGCTCATGATTGTGGGCAGGTAAGTCCCCACTGGGTGGGGCTGGGGCAGGGGGAAGAGAGAGCTGAGCCCACCCAGAGGCAAAGTCCAGGTTCAGCCAGCAACCTATCCAGGCTGAAGAGCATTAGGACTCCATGTGCAAGACATTCATTCATTCAGGAGATGCTGAACGAGCACCTACTGTGTACCAGGCACAGGGCACATAACCATGAAAGGGCTCAGTTCTTGCCTTCATGGAGCCAGGGAAGGAGGAGAATAAGCAAATAATTTTAACCCAGCTGGGCGAGGTGGCTCACACCTGTAATCACAGTACTTTGGGAGGCCGAGGCGGTGGATCACTTGAGGTCAGGTGTTCAAGACCAGGCTGGCCAACATGGTGAAACCTCATCTCTACTAAAAATACAAAAATTAGCTGTGGTGGCGTGTGCCTGTAATCCCAGCTACTCAGGTGGCTGAGGCAGGAGAATCGTTTGAACCCAGGAGGCAGAGGTTGCAGTGAGCCAAGATGACGCACTGCACTCCCGCCTGGGTGACAGAGTGAGACTCTGTCTCAAAAAAAAAAATTAAAATAATAAAATAAAATAAGCTGGGAGTGTTGGCATGTGTCTGTAATCCCACCTATTCGGGAGGCTGAGGCAGGAGGATCACTTGAGCCCAGGAGTTGGAGGCTGCAGTGAGCTATGCTCTCACCACTGCACCCCGGCCTTGGCAACAGAACAAGACCCTGTCTATTAAAAGAGACAGAGAGAGGGAAAGAGGAGTAAATGTTCAGATGATGCTAATTTGTGCCTCTCGCCGCCGGCACCAGGGTGTTTGTGCTGCTGCTGGTCCTGGTCTCCATCCTCTGGATCCCTGTGGTCCAGGCCAGCCAGGGCGGCCAGCTCTTCATCTATATCCAGTCCATCAGCTCCTACCTGCAGCCGCCTGTGGCGGTGGTCTTCATCATGGGATGTTTCTGGAAGAGGACCAATGAAAAGGTAGCTCTGGATGGCTCCCACTATGCCAGAACCAAGTGCTGCCCCTTGAGGACTGGGATAGGATGGGAGGGGAGGGTGTTGGAGGGAGACACAGGCTGGAATTGGGTGTTGAGAGGGAGGGTGAGTTCCATTGGTGGAAGATACAGGGAGGGTGTTTATCTGACCTTTGCAAAAAAGCAATGAGAGGGCTGCTGCGATGGCTCACACCTGTAATCCCAGCACTTTGGGAGGCCGAGGTGGGTGGATCACTTGAGGTCAGGAGTTTGAGACCAGCCTGGCCAACATGGTGAAAGCCCATCATTACTCAAAATACAAAAATTAGCCGGGTGTGGTGGTGGGCGCCTGTAATCCCAGCTACTCAGATGCTGAGGCAGGAGAATCACTGGAACCTGGGGGGCAGAGGTTGCAGTGAGCTGAGACCACGCCACTGCACTCCAGCCTGGGCGACAGAGTGAGACTGTCTCAAAAAAAAAAAAAAAAAAAAAGCAATGAGAGGTTCTCATGAAAAGTATCTTGATGCATTTTTTGTTATTGAACAGGGAAGCTAAATTAAGAGGGAGTTAGTAAACTATTAGTAATCAATTCATTATAAAAAGATAAATGGTTAAGTATTGCAGAACCTTTTCAAATTGCTGACCCGTGCTTGCAGTGACCACCACAAGAAAGACAAGTCCTGGAGATGGCTTCTTGAGGTTCCTGGAGGCCAGAGCCCTTGGCGTCTCTAAGATGATCTTGCTCTGATTTTGCAGGGTGCCTTCTGGGGCCTGATCTCGGGCCTGCTCCTGGGCTTGGTTAGGCTGGTCCTGGACTTTATTTACGTGCAGCCTCGATGCGACCAGCCAGATGAGCGCCCGGTCCTGGTGAAGAGCATTCACTACCTCTACTTCTCCATGATCCTGTCCACGGTCACCCTCATCACTGTCTCCACCGTGAGCTGGTTCACAGAGCCACCCTCCAAGGAGATGGTACATTTGGGCTGATGGCTAGATCCGTTGAGACTTTTTGTTGGAAGTGACAGAAAACTGACTCAAACTGACTTAAGCGAAGGAGACTGATTGTCCAAAAAGCTGAAAAGTCCAGGGTTGAGGTTCAGGGGCAGGATGATTTGGGACTCTGAAAAGGTCATCAGAATCCATCTGCACTTCTGCTTCAATTCTTAGGTCCCATATGGAGCCCAGTATCTTCTAGAGATACATCCTCTTTTACTGTCATTAAGTAAACATAAGGCTGGGGTGCGGTGGCTCATGCCTGTAATCCCAGCACTTCGGGAAGCTGAGATGGGAGGATCACTTGAGGCCAGGAGTTTGAGACCAGCCTGGGCAATATAGTGAGATCCCGTCTCTTAAAAAAATGAAAAAATTAGCAGGGCGTGATGGCTCATGCCTGTAATCTCAGTTACTAGAGAGGCTGAGGTGGGAGGATTGCCAGAGCCCAGGAGTTTTGATGGTGCAGTGAGCTATGACCATGCCACTGCACTTCCAGCCTTGGTGACAGAGCAAGACCCTGTCTCACAAAAAAAAAAAAAAAAAAAAAAAGGAAAAGAAAAAATTAGCAGGGCGTGATGGCTCATGCCTGTAATCCCAGCTGCTAGGGAGGCTGAGGCAGGAGGATTGCTTCAGCCCAGGAGTTTAAGGCTGCAGTGAGCTATGACCATGCCACTGCACTCCCACCTGGGTGACAGAACAAGAGCCTGTCTTTAAAAAAAAAAAAAAAAAAAAAAAGTAAAAATAAGCATTAATATTTCTGTCCCAGAATTTCTAGAGAATTTCTAGATTTCCATTGATGGAGTCAGCTCAGGACACATGCTCATCCGTGAACCAATTCAATCCCTGTGGCCAGAGAAACGGATGAGCTGAAATGACCAGTTCTGGGGTCCTGCAATACTCTAGGGTGAGGGTTAAGCTCTGGGGATTAGAATGAGGGATAATCACATCCCAGCAACAGGAGGATGGGGTTTATCGGAGAAAGACGTGGGAATGAGCAGGGGAATTGTGCGCTGATGTTGAAGAGTGCAGGAACATGATGCTTGTTGGAGGATGGGGTGGGAGGGTGGGGCTGGGAGCAGATTCAGACACAAAGGCTGAGTGTGGGGTTGGGTGGGGAGTGTGAGAAAAGGATGGACAACCCCGGCCCCACCTCCACCACAAATCTCATCATTCATCCCTGCTCCTTAGGTCAGCCACCTGACCTGGTTTACTCGTCACGACCCCGTGGTCCAGAAGGAACAAGCACCACCAGCAGCTCCCTTGTCTCTTACCCTCTCTCAGAACGGGATGCCAGAGGCCAGCAGCAGCAGCAGCGTCCAGTTCGAGATGGTTCAAGAAAACACGTCTAAAACCCACAGCTGTGAGTAGCTTCTCTCCTCAGTTACAGCAAGAAGGAGTACGTGTTAAAGGGATTGATTTTTTTTTTTTTCCTATCAAATCACAAGCCAGGAAAGTGGGCAGACTTGGAGTTTTAGCATCCTCTGGCTCCAGTGTCTGATCTGTCCCCACGCTCCGGCCATGGGAAAGGAGTTTTTAGTAACTTTCAACAAGCTTCCTACGGGCACTAACAGCAAACAAACACTTGTTGAGTGCCTACGGAGACACGGTTGGTTCATTTCATCCTTATTCTCTGCACATGGGTAGGCAGGAACACAACTTGCCTTCTCTCAGTTAGTGCTTCTAAACTGGCGGCTTGCAGACATATTTTGGCTTAGCCCACCTACAGTTTCAACAAAATGTGAGTTAACATTTAAAAATTGAGAGATTTTGGCCGGTCAGCATGGCTCAGGCCTGTAATCCCAGCACTTTGGGAGGCCGAGGTGGGTGCATCACTTGAAATCAGGAGTTCAAGACCAGCCTGGCCAACATGGTGAAATCCTGTCTCTACTAAAAATATAAAAATTAGCCGGGCATGGTAGCGCATGCCTATAGTCCCAGCTACTTGGGAGGCTGAGGCAGGAGAATCGCTTGAACCTGGGAGGTGGAGGTTGCAGTGAGCCGAGATCACGCCACTGCACTCCAGCCTGGACGACAGAGTGAGACTCTCTCAAAAAAAAAAAAAAAAAAAAGGGAGATTTCAGTCGGGCATAGTGGATGGTGGTTCACGCCTGTAATCCCAGCACTTGAACACATCTGGTGAGTGTCCCTGTCTCACCTCTCTGGGAGATACAGACCACCTCTACGGTCTTCCTTTGCTGGGTTCTTTCTAGGTGACATGACCCCAAAGCAGTCCAAAGTGGTGAAGGCCATCCTGTGGCTCTGTGGAATACAGGAGAAGGGCAAGGAAGAGCTCCCGGCCAGAGCAGAAGCCATCATAGTTTCCCTGGAAGAAAACCCCTTGGTGAAGACCCTCCTGGACGTCAACCTCATTTTCTGCGTGAGCTGCGCCATCTTTATCTGGGGCTATTTTGCTTAGTGTGGGGTGAACCCAGGGGTCCAAACTCTGTTTCTCTTCAGTGCTCCATTTTTTTAATGAAAGAAAAAATAATAAAGCTTTTGTTTACCACAAGGCTTCCAAGTGTTTATAGACCATTTTCAACATGACACTTAGCTCTTTTCTTTTTTCTTTTTTTCTTTTTTTTTTTTTTGAGACAGTGTCTCGCTCTGCCACCCAGGATGGAGTGCAGTGGCATGGTCATAGCTCACTGCAACGTCAAACTCCTGGGCTCAAGTGATCCTCCCTCCTCAGCCTCACAAGTTTCTAGGACTACAGGCACACACTACCATGCCTGGCTAATTTTTCCTTTTTTCAAAGAGATGTGGTCTATGTTGCCCAGGCTGGTCCTGAACTCCTGGCCTCAAGTGATCCCCCCACCTCAGCCTCCCAAAGTACTAGGATTACAGGCATGAGCCACGATGCCCAGCCTCTTTTCTTCTTGAAAATAATGAAGGTTAGAAGATGGAAAGAGGAGAGACATGTAAAAGCTTCCTTTTGCAAAAGACTAGTTATTCATTCTTCTTATCCATTGTGCAACATCAATACCCAAATTCAAAGGGATAAAGAAGCAAAGGGACTTACAAGACCTCCCAGGCTGACAGCAGCCACATCTCCGGGGTTGGATATTTAGCATCTGAACTTGCCCAGCTCACCTTCACAGTGCAAAGAATGGGACCTGCATTCTATCTCTTGCCTTCCACTGTGGCTGGCTTTGGGTGAAGGTCCCCGAGTTTTCTCACTGTGATACTTTCTCCTAGATATTTCTTGGAAATAGACCCCAGTTGGTACTCTGAAATCTTGTGCTGTAAGAAAATCAGGGAATTGTGTGCACTTCTCAAGTTCTGGCTTAGACTCTTGTTTTTGAGACAGGGTCTCTCTCACTCTGTCACCCAGGCTGGAATGTAGTGGCACCCTGAGATCTCACTGCAGTCTTGACTTCCTGGGCTCATGTGATCCTCCCACCTCAGCCTCCTGAGTAGCTGGGACTACAGACATGCACCACCATGCCTGGCTAATTTTTAAAATTTCTTCGCAGAGACATGGGGGGCGGGTCTCTCCTATGTTGCCTGAGCTGGTTTTAACCTCCTGGGCTCAAGCAATCCTCCTGCCTTGGCCTCCCAAAGTGCTGGGATTACAGGTGTGAGCCACGCACCCAGCCTTAGACTGTGTTTCTTTGCTTAATTCCCCATGATGATGCTTCCCTAAAAAGAAGCAGCCAGGTGGATGTGCATCTCAATGAACCTCCCCACCAAAAGCCAGTAAGGCTTTGACCTGCAGAGCAGCGGCCTCCTGTTCTGGGTAGAGCCAGCCTCCTCAGCTTCCCAGCTTTGGGCCCACTGGAGTCTGACGGAATGACCCATCAGGGCTGCGTTTGCCACGTGCAGAGCTAAGAGCAGGACAGGGCCAACGGAGTGAGCCCTGAGACCATCTCTGGAGTAGCTCAGGGCCATGAACCATCCAGGCCTGGGATAAGGTGGGGTGGACTAGAACCCCTTCCTGGCCTGACAGAGCTGGAAAGCAGAGGAGTCTCTCGAGGGACCCCAATTTTCAGACCAGAGGAAAGTAAACAGGACCCCCTGGGGCTGAGGAGCTGCCCACCCACTTAATCCTCCAGTGATGATGTCTTTCTGGTTCCTACTTGATGCCAACAGCTAGGACTGGCCTGGTGCACAGGCAAATAATGTATTGGTCCAGCCTCAGCTCTGCTCATAGGCCCAGCTCTCTACAGGAATCCAAATAGCAGTAGTAGGTTGGACAAAGGGCACCCCCAGCCCTCCTGGGAAGGGGTATGGGCGGGGAACTGGCTGCTAACATGGCTCCAGGCAGGAGCGTGGAATGGTTCTGGAGCAAGTGGGCTCAAGGAGAAGTCTTCACCGGGGAGGTTGAGCTTCTGCCTCCAAGGCCCAAAGAAGGGGAGTGGGCGGCATGGGAGGCTTCCACTACAGTCCTGAGCTCCCCGTCCAAGCCTGCCCCTCACACCAAGACCCCTGTTGCCTCTGGCTGGGGTCAACAGTGTGTTTCAGCAGGGACGCACTGAGCTGTCACTATGATAGCTCAGGCCACCCCCATCTCTGCCCGGACTCCTGACTGCCTTCTCACATCCAGTCTTCCCATTCTCCAGCCACTGGCAGGGTGAGCAACTCGGATCAAGCCAATCCTCTGCTTGGAATCCTTCAGAGACCTTCCCACTCAGGATGAACTCTGCAATCCTTTGCCTTCCTTTTTTTTTTTTTTTTTTTTTTTTTTTTTGAGACAGGCTCTCACTCTGTTGCCCAGGCTGGAACACAGGGTGCGATCATGGCTCAATGCATTCTCAAACTCCCAGGCTCAGGTGATCCTCCCACCTCAGCCTCCTGGGTAGCTGGGACTACAAGTACGCACCACCATGCCTGGCAATTTTTGTTGGTTGTTGTTGTATTTTGTGGAGAAGGCATTTTGCCATATTGCCCAGGCTGGTCTCCAACTCCTGGGCTCATGTGATCCACCTGCCTTGGCCTCCCAAAGTGCTGGGATTACAGGTGTGAGCCCCCATATCTGGCCTTTTTTTTTTTTTTTTTTTTTTTTTTTTTTTTTACAGACAGGGTCTTGCACTTTGTCACCCAGGCTGGAGTGCATTGGCATGATCATGACTTACTGGACCCTCGAACTCCTGCCTCAACCTCTTGAGTAGCTGGAACTACAGACATTTGGCCACCATACCTGGCTAATTTTAATTTTTTTATGTAGATGGGGTCTTACTATGTTGCCCTGGCTGGTCTCAAACTGCCGGCTTCAAGCAATTCACCCACCTCAACCTCTCAAAGTGCTGAGATTACAGGTGTGAGCTGCTGTGCCCAGCCAGCTGAGAGATTTTAAATGTTCTCGCCACAAAAAATAAATGATAATGGAGGTGATGGATATATTAATTAGCTAGATTTAACCATTCTGCAATGTATACATATACAAAAACATGTCGTATACCATAACTTTTATCAATTTAAAAAACCAGTGCAGTGCAAATACAATTTACAGATGTGCACAGAAACTGAATTCAGGCCAGGTGCAGTGGCTCACATCTGTAATCCCAGCACTTCAGTGGGCTGAGGTGAGTGGATCACCTGAGGTCAGGAGTTCAAGACCAGCCTGGCCAACAGATCAAAACCTCATCTCTACTAAAAATAAAAAAATTAGCCTGGCATGGTGGTGGGTGCCTGTAGTCCCAGCTACTTGGGAGGCTGAGGCAGGAGAATGGCTTGAACCTGGGAGGCAGGGGTAGCAGTAAGCCGAGATCATGTCACTGCACTCCAGCCTGGGTGACAGAGCAAGATTCCATCTTAAACAAATAGAATGACAACCAAAAACCCCAAATTCAAATACAAGTAGAAAGAGTGAAAACAGAACCCTGAGGATTTTTTTAGGTTGGGGTTCTTCCTTGTATCAAATATCCCCCTCCCCACATGTCATTTGTGATGATGTTTCGTGTGTGAAGGATAGACCCTAAGGTGACCCTCAATCATCCCTACTTCCTGGGAAGTGGATCCTTCCCCAGCCCAGCCTCCAGATGAGATCCCAGCCCTGGCTGCTGCCTTGACTGCAGCAGATGAAGATCCTGGACAGAGGACCCAGAGAAGCTGTGCCTGGACTCCTGACCCACAGGAGCTGTGAGAAAATGAACATGTGTTGTTGTAAGCTGCTAAGTATGTGATCATCTGTCATGCTGCACTGGATAACTGACATGAGGGGCATGGTGTGTGAACGCATGTGTGGATGTAAAGGAGGGGTTGGCTGGAGAGGGTGTGGGAGGAGGACAGTTGCCTGCAGAGCTGTGTGGGGTCTACACAGCCATGTACCTCCTTTGGAGGGTATCGAGTACAAGTAATTTGGTTGCCAGTAAGAGAAACAAACCCAAAGAGGAACGTTTGTGCCAAAAACAAGCACTTTATTGTGAGCATACAAAGGCAAGAAATGCAGAATGGCTTCAGGCACACAAACCGGGAGCTGGGAGGGTTTTAAAAACCAAGCCCTGCACTCTCTCCCTCTTATCTTTTGTCCCTGCCTCTCCGCACATCTGCTGACTTCTCCCTCTGCAGGCAGGTTTTCTCTACTCCACAGAATCCACGGTGGTGGCAGGGCACCCACAGCTCCGTGCCGGGAGACAGGGGTCCTGCCTGCTGGGGAAGAGACTCAGGGCCCATGCCTGTGCGAACCCATGCGGGACAGGGTGGGGATGGCCATGTGTGCAGCCTGCTGTGGGCAGGAGGGAAACTAAGGGGGTCCTTGACTTGCTCCCCTCCCTTAGCTGGCAGCTCAAGTGGTCTTGGTCACTTCTTGTCTTTTGGCTGCACCAGAGCCTGTGGCTTCCCCGCACCAGCACATCTCCTCCTCTCTAGCTCCACCGATGAGATAGGAGGAAAGTGCAAGCCCTTGACTGAGAAGCATCCCTATGAGTGAGGTGCTTGCTGCCCAGTCTGATGCAAAACCCTGAGACCGTGGGTCCCAGAGGCCAGAGGCACTGGAATATGGTGAGGAAATCGTGGGAGGAGACCTCAGGGAGAAACCAGGAGGGTTTGTCTTAAGACCTTCAAATAGGAGCACTTGTGGGACTCACTGGGCTTGGGAGACACTGAGAACTGCAGCCCCAACAGAGGAGCGGGAGTCACTCCACGGAGCTCCCAGAGAACCAGGGCCATCACAATGGTCCAGGGATGGGGTCACTCCAATGGCATCTGAATTTTTTTTTTTTTTTTGAGACAGAGTCTCGTGTCACCCAGGCTGGAGTTCAGTAGATGATCTTGGCTCATTGCAACCTCTGCCTTCCAGGTTCAAGCAATTCTCTTGCCTCAGACTCCTGAGTAGCTGGAACTACAGGCGCGTGTCACCACACAAGCCTTTTTTTTTTTTTTTTTTTTTTTTTTTTTTTTTTTAGTAGAGACAGGGTTTCACCATGTTGGCCAGGCTGGTCTCAAACTCCTGACCTCAAGTGATCCACCCACGTCAGTCTCCCAAAGTCCTGGGATTACAGGCACGAACCGCTGCGCCTGGCTAATTTTGTGTGTGTGTGTACACACACACACACACACACACACACACACACATATAATTTTTTTTTTTAGAAGAGATGGGGTTTTGCCATGTTGGGCAGGCTGGCTTCAAACTCCTGACCCCGTGATCCGCCCACCTCGACCTCCCAAAGTGCTGGGATTACAGGCATGAGCCACTGCGCCTGGCTAATTTTTTTTGTGTGTATGTGTATATATATATATATATATATACACATACACGCGCACACACACACACACACACACACACACACACACACATATATATAATTTTTTTTTAAGAAGAGATGGGTTTTGCCATGTTGGCCAGGCTGGTCTCAAACTCCTGACCCCGTGATCCACCCACCTCGACCTCCCAAAGTGCTGGGATTATGGGCATGAGCCACCACACCCAGCGCATCTGAACTCTTGGAATGACCACAGGGTGGAACTCGGCAAAACCAAGGCAGCCAGGGCTCTACTCTGAGCCTCTGCAGTCTCCACAGTGCTGGGTGCAGGACAAGCTCCTTCCAGAATGCTAGGTGAGTGCTAAACCACAGGGGGTAGTGAGAGGAACCGGTGCCTGACCAAGGAGGTTTGGTGCAGGTGGGGGAGCAGGGACACGAAGTCTGAGCGCAAGGGCCTAGAACATTCTATAAGAAACTACTGTGTAGAGAAGGGAAGGAAACAATCTGAAGGGCAGATGGCCAGTGCCCTTCTGGACAGCCAGAAATGGCCACTATGGGTTCAGATTCTCTGCCTCTCTGACGGTGGGCAGGCTGGAAATGGTGTGCCTAACGTACAGTGCCAACACAGTACAACGCCTCCAGCAGAAGGAATCCCGGGCCACAGAACGGGAAAGAGGATCCAGGTGCCTCTCCTGGCCCTGCCGGTGGGATGCTCAGCCATGTATCCCACCCTAGACAGTTCTGGGTTTTTTTTGTTTTTGTTTTTTTTGAGACAGAGTCTCACTTTGTTGCCCAGGCTGGAGTGCACTGGCTTGATCTGGGCTCACTGTAGTCTCTGTCACCCAGGTTCAAGTGATTATCCTGTCTCAGCCTCCTAAGTAGCTGGGATTACTGGCACCCACCACGATGCCAAGTTAATTTTTTGTATCTTTAGTAGACATGGGGTCTCACCATGTTGACCAGGCTGGTCTTGAACTCCTGACATCAAGTGATCTGCCCGCCTCGGCCTCCCAAAGTGTGGTCTTTACCTTTGACACATACACAGAGTCAAATGACTTTCATTGTTTTGAAGTTTGCAGCTGTCAGGGTAGGAAGATTGCTGCAAACAATAGGAGAGTAAAAACTGAATGAGGCTCTTAAAATAATGAGGTATGGTTTGCTGTATTTCAGAATCAGCAATGATGAACACATGCTATATGCTGGGCAGGATGTCAGCATGGATGTTTCTCATCCCCAGGTGCCAACAGCATCTCCTTGACAAGCGCCCAAGTCCCTGCTTCCTCTGGAGGACAAGCTCAGGCATCACGATGGGAGCATCTCCGAGGCTCCATGGAGACACCTGACCGTGGACAGCCAGGCGCCTGGAGAAGGTGCTCAACATGGAGCATCAGCCTACACAGAGGATTCTTTCTCTGCAGGGTTTGTTCTGTGGCTAAAGGAGGGTATAGAAAATTAACAATACACAGGTGGCACAGGGGAAGAGTGAGCCTTAAGCCAATGAAAATTCAAGATATGGGAGCAAATGGGCTTACAGGAGCATATTTTGAAGGTAATTAATAAGTATAGGGAGTACTTTGAGGGCATAGGAAACTGAGTAAAGATGAAAATGTGGGCTGGGCATGGTGGCTCACGCCTGTAATCCCAGCACTTTCGGAGGCTGAAGTGGGAGGATTGCGTGAGGCCAGAATTGTAAGACCAGCCTGGGCAACACAGCAAGATCCCTGTCTCTAGAAAAAAAAATATTTAAAAATTAGTTGGGTGTATTGCCATGCACCTGTAGTCTCAGCTACTTGGGAGGCTGAGTTGGGAGGATCATTTGAGCCTAGGAGTTTGGAGGCTGCAGTGAGTTATGATTGTGCCACTGCACTCCAGCCTGGGCCACAGAGTGAGATCTGTTTCAAAAAAACAACAAAAGGAAACTGTGGTTCCCCTTTTTAAATCAGGCTTAAGTCAGTTCGTAGTGGAAAGAGGCCCAGTGTCTTCTAGGCAGTGACTTAGACACTGACACACCTAGCAAACTCGATCAATAGAAGGCTCAGGGCAGCCAACTCTGGCAGCGTGTCCCACTCTGTTCCCAAGAGAAAACGGCCTTATCTGGGCCAAGGGGTCGTGCTATCGTCAGACCAGCTGTCCAGAGCCTCAGTCTCGCTTTGCTCCAATTCCCCATCGGCTCTTCCCTAGTATTTCAATCCTGGGAGAGACGGGATAATTTTCACGCCTTGGATAGGGCATGAAAGCACCAGCCATTGGAAAAAGGGCTCTCTATGGCAATTCACAACTGCTGACGAATGCACCAACCCGGTGGGGCTGAACTCCTGTGAGCTGCCCCCGGGAGTCTGAGTATCTCTAGATGGAAAGAAAGGGATGCCAGCACTGGGAGGACCAAGGGTGCAGCCTTGACCAGAACCTGCACTGAGGATGGCCAGGCTAGGAGGTCTTTGGGGCACCTGGCGGCCTTTTTCACTGTTGCGACCTTGCTCTCTGTTTCTTCAAACTCCTACAGCTACAATTAGACCCTCTCCCCCAAGATGTCCCAGCCACAATTCTATCTGGTTGAGTGGCAACACACACACACTCATGCACACACACACACACACACTCCACAATTTACCTCCAAGAATTATGAAGTTTTCATATAAACCACAGAATATATTTAATTCAAATTAAACATGAAACTAGAATAATGTTCGGTCCTTATCAAGTAGCAATTACATTGTTTAAAAAAAAAAAAAAGAACAGTACATTTCTGTCTACATTCCGACAATCCAACGAGGCGGCATGGGTCACATCCAGTTTGATGAGGTGACAGAGCCAGCAGTCACCATCCATGGGCATGGTTCTGAGGGGACTGGGGAGACACAGACCATACATGATACAAAATGATTCTGCAGCAAGTCTGAAGGAGCGCAGCCTCCCTCCTAATACATAAGAATGAACGTCCAGGTAGCAGAGAGTAGGCGACTTGCATAATGAGCGCATTTTATTAAATAGATAGTTAACGCACTGCTTCTTACTCATTCCAAGTTGCTGTAGGTGCTGCCCGCATTAACAGCAGGGACAAAAGCTTCCTATGCGCGTTTCAGCAGGAATACTCTCTCCACTCCAGGTACTTCTTTGTTTTGGATTTTTTTGGCATGATTTCCTTCCCATGTAAAGAAAGCCAACTTCTTCAAGACACAGGTCATTCAGCTTTAGTGGTGGCCTCCAGGTTCTCCTTGGGCCGTGCAGAAGGCCAGGTCCCGCACAGTGAGGCCCTCCTTTGTCCTCCACTGAAAGCTTTTCACTGTTCGGTCTGCAAAGAAAGAGGTTCGCCTGCCCCTGCTCCACTCGCCAGGGTGGAAGTGGTGGAGGGCTGGGAAAGGGCTTTCTTCACAGGGCAGTGCTCTCGGTATCATTGTCTATATCCAGCAGGATGCGGCCAGGCACGTCTTTGCTGGCTGAGTCTGAGTGCATTTCAGGAAAGATGCTGCGATGCGGTTCTGAAACCCTGGAATTGGAGTCTGGACAAAAACACGAGGAGACATGGTATCAATGAGGGGTAACCCCCGAGAGGCCACCTGAGGGTGCTCTGAGAAGAAGAGAGGCTGGGAAGTTTCAGGGTCAGCCCATGCACACAGGGTCCCTTGCGAGAGGCCTCATCAGCTCTTAGAAGCCAAGTGAAGCCTTTGTGACCCCAGAGGGCAGCTGAGTAGCACAGCCTTGCCTCTGGGCTCCGACGTTGCTTGCTATGAGCCCGGAGCAGCCCTTGGAGATGCAGCTTTTAAAGGATTTGCTTGCTTTGATGGAGGAAAGGAAGCCTCATTCTTCCCAAGACCTCTAATGCATGAGATGAACCCTCCTGATGGCCCCTGGGCTGCCCTGGGAAGAGGTCTCTCCTCCAGACTGCTGGGTTTTCCTCCTGTTACTAACACTAGGACCTCACCCTCAGCACCAGCAACATTTGGGCCTGAATTATTTGTTGTGGTTGTCCTGTGCATTGTAGGTGTCACCCAACAGATGCCAGTGACATGCAGCCTCCTCCCCCAGTGTGACAACCGAAAGTGTCTCCTGTACATCACAGATCACTGGGGAAGTTTAAACTAAAATGTCTCCAGATGCTGCCGAGTGTCCCCTGGGGAATCACAATCACTGCTGACTGACATCACTGAGGCAGACCAAGTCTCCTGCAAACACTAACATCCCCTTGTCTGTCTAATACACCTCGAATGCCATTTTCATGTCTTATTATGTTGGCTGAAATTCCTTCAGCAAGATGGCAAACATATGGTCCTCATGCTGTTGTCCCCCTCTCCTATGCTCTTCCCAGAGGCCAGTGGGTCTCAGATTCATTTATGCATGAACAAATATTTACTGAGCACCTCCCAGGTGCCAGGCACCATTCTACCTGCTGAGGACGCAGCACTGAACAAGACAGGCACAGCCTCAATGAAGCCCACGGTCAAGTGGGCAGACCAAGGGGATCCTAATTAAGACAAAAGGGCTGGCTTCTCTCGTAGATGTGGGTTCTGGCAAATTATGAGAGCCTCATTAGGTATTTTAGGGCTGGTGTAAGAGAGAAGAGAGATGTTTTGTAGTTTTGCTTTGCTGCGTTAGAGGTAGCCATGGCAGGCAGCAGTGAGGGAGTGGGAGGAGGAGGTGGTTTGTGGGGGCGTTTCACAGTTAGGCTTGAGAGCTGCTTTCCCCTACTTGCTGTGGTGCAAAATGACATCCTGTCTGTCCTTGACGGGAGCTAGTTTTGACTATATTTCTGTTCGACCTGCTCCCGTCTACGCAGGCACAGCTTGAAAACGCTGGTGCACTTTGGGGAAGCTCACTGCTTGGAGACTTGTTCCAGCTCCTACCCCTTCCACCTTCCTGTCCCTACAGTTCTGAGCTGTGAGATCTATTTACTCCCTGGGACACCCTTTTTCTCACAGTTACTCCTGGGTTGTCCCTCAAGGTTTCCTATGCACCACAACTCAGAGAAATTTCTAGATTTATGGAGGTGCCAAAGTGTCAAAGAGTTCAGGTGCTGAATGTCATTTCAGACAATTCAGGTCTTGTGATAACTATAAAACCAATGACACTGTGCAGAACTGCACCAGCCTATGGTGCAGCCAAAGGTGGTCTGTATGCACAGAATAGGGGCTGTCTTGGATTTGTCCTAAGCAGAACAGAAGTCAACGAAGGCAGGGACTGTGTCTGTCTTGTTCACAGTGTATCCTCAGTACCTAAAACAGTGACCGGCAAATAGCAGATGTTCAAGAAATTTTGTAGCTGCACACTTGGATGGTTGGATGGATGCATGAAGAGTCATCTAGAGCAACCATCTTTCCAATCCTCCATTCTTACATCCTCAGGCAAAGAAGTAGCTGTGACTTGAAGACGACGTATAAGAAAATCACTGCAAATGCAATCCTTTCCCCATTATCTTGGCCCCCAAAAACAGAAGGGGCTACCAGCCCGTGTCTCTTCTCAGCCCAGAGTTTACCAGAAACTATGGAACCGACATGACTTGGCGGGGAATGCATGATGCAAAGGCACTGTGTATACGGATGAGATTTCTACTTGTTAATATCTGTATTCACATGCAAGCTAACGCCTATCAGCCACCAAGCCCCTCCACAGCTGCTCTCTTTTTCTTATACATCACATATACATAATTTTTAGATTTGTGCCTCTCTGAATTTTTCTATTTATGATCCACACACATTATTAATTCAAGGGGAAAAAATGTGTTTTGGGGCATAAAGGAAATCCCTTACTCTGCCGCCCACCTGCCCCATCTGGTTTCCCCAGCCCCTCTCTATTCCTACATGAATCAGTCCCTGAAAGAAACAATGACTTTGTTTACACACAAAAAGTAGAAAGAATTACGGCAACCTGTACAGAACCAGTTTTCAGAAAGAGACTTCATCACAGTAGCTAACATTAAAAAAAAAAATTTTTTTTTTGAGATGGGGTCTTGCTCTTTTGCCCAGGCTGGAGTGCAGTCGTGCAATCTCAGCTCACTGCAGCCTCCACCTCCTGGGCTCAACTGATCCTCCCACCTCAGCCTCCCGAGTAGCTAGGACTACAAGCATACGCCACCATGCCTGGCTAATTTTTTTTATTTTTGGTAGAGACAAGGTTTCACCATGTTGACTGGGCTGGTCTTGAACTCCTGGCCTCAAGCAATCCTCCCACCTCGGCTCCCCAAAGTGCTGGGATTACCAGCATGAGCCACCACACCCAGCCTCAGTAGCTGACATTACTATAGAGCACTTACTTACACCAGAGACTGTACTATACACCCACACTTTATTACATCGTCTCACTGAACCCCCACTAACTAATCCTAAGGCAGCAGAAATAAGAAAGGGAGACTCAGAGGCTCTATTCCTTGCCCAAGGTGACACAGCCAGTGTGGACCAAAGAGGATCAAAGCCAGATTGGTTGCACTCTGGCTCTTCGCATTACATTTTCCCTCCTCCCCAGAGGAGTCTGTAAATCCCTGGGTGAGGGCCTTCAAAGACATTATCCAAGATCATTGTTTCAGTCTTACAAACACTCTGGTTTGTTGTAAAAAGGAGAAAATGGTTATTTCAGAAAGACACCTGTAAGAACCTGGTTTGTCTGAAACACCTCTAAATCTTTCTGGCTATGAACTCGTATATTAACTGCACTCCAAGAAGGGCTGGTTTCTGAGCATATGCTTGGAGCTAAGTTCATACAAAAGATATTGTATTTAAAAAAACAAAATAGGCTGGGCGTGGTGGGATGATGGTGTGAGCCCAGAAGTTCGAGACCAGCCCAGGCAACATGAGACTCCGTCTCTATAAGAAAAACACAAAAATTAGCCGGGTGTGGTGGTGCATGCCTCTAGTTCCACCTTCCAGCTACTTGGGAGATTCGCTTGAGCCCAGGAGGTCAAGGCTGCAGTGGACTGGAATCACACCGCTGCACTCTAGCCTGGGCAACAGAGCAAGACCCTGTCTCTCTTTTTTTTAAAAAAAAAAAAAAAAAAAAAGAGAGAAACAGAGGATGACCTCCAGTAACCAGCCTCAGCCCAAAGGCAGAACTTGATACAGTTCATCTCAGATTTGGGGCTCTGACAAATGTAACCCAGGTTCCTTCCTGCACTGAGTATCTCATCCAGGAAACAGAAGTGGGTATTTAAGAGCTAGAAGTGGAATGTTATCACTGAGGGTAAGGTTCTAGAAGATTTACTTATTACTTCAACAATTTTGAATATGTGCTTTCTCGGTTGTGAACTCACCCTTCAAGAAGTCCAAGGTGATTCTGATAGCCACTTTGACAAGTAACAGATCCAAATATGCCCTTGAAAGTAAGTGGTGCAGGCACAACTGCAGGGCGAATAAACTCCCTCCCCCTCTCCACCACCCATCCCTCTTCTCAGACCTAGAGTCTCAGGGAATGCCTTCCTTCACCAGTGAACGGTTTGAGTCTTAAACACTCTGGTTGATTGTTGTAAAAAAGAGATAAAGGTTATTTTAGAAAGACACTTGTAAGAACCTGGTTTTCTTTAAACACCTCTAAACGTCTCTGGCTATGAATTTATATATTATTTGCATTCCAAGAAGGGCTGGTCTTTGAGCATACTGCTTGGAGCTAAGTTTATATGACAAGTATTATATTTCAAAATTAAAAAAAAGCAAAAAATCAGACAAAAAAGAAACCTTTTATTGGAGGTCTCTTTTCTGTTTTTTTTTTTTTTAAATAAAATATCTACTGTATGAACTTAGTTCCAAGCAATATCCTCAAAGACCAGCCCTTGGAAGGCAGAGAATATATAAATTCACAACCAAAGAGGTTTAGGGTGCTTTTAGAAAGCAGGTTCTGGCTGGGTGTGGTAGCTCATGCCTGTAATCCCAGCACTTTGGGAGGCCGAGGCAGGCAGATCACCTGAGGTCAGGAGTTCAAGACCAGCCTGGCCAACATGGTGAAACCCCGTCTATACTAAAAATACAAAAATTAGCCGAGCACGGTAGTGAGTGCCTGTAATCCCAGCTACTCAGGAGGCTGAGGCAGGAGAATCGCTTGAACCTGGGAGGTGGAGGTCACAGTGAGCTGAGATCGCACCACTGCATTCCATTCTGAGCAACGGGGTAAGACTCAGTCTCAAAAATAAAAAAAAATAAAAAAAAAAGCAGGTTCTAACAGGTGTCTTTCTAAAATAACCTTTTTCTCCTTTTTACAATGTAATACCTGTCATATAAACTTAGCTCTAACCAGAGTGTTTAAGACCCAAACCATTATTTCCTCAGATAATGTCTTCACTTTCAGGATCCTCACCCAAGGATATACACAACTCTTTTGGGAAAGAGGGAAAATGTTAGGGTGATTAAGAATGATGGGGCCAGGTGCGGTGGCTCATGCCTGTAATCCTAGCACTTTGGGAGGCAGAAGTGAGTGGATCACTTGAAGTCATGAGTTGGAGACCAGCCTGGCCAATATGGCAAAACCCTGTCTCTACTAAAAATACAAAAATCAGCCAGGTGTTGCCACACCTGCCTATAATCCCAGCTACTTGGGAGGCTGAGGCAAGAGAACTGCTTAAACCAGGAAGGCAGGGGTTGCCGTGTGCCAAGATTGCACCACTGCACTCCAGCCTGGGTGACAGAGCAAGACTCTGTCTCAAAAAATACACAAAATAAATAAACAGAAGAATGACAGTCCAACCAATCTGGCTTTGATCCTCTTTGGTTGAAGTAGAATTGTGTAATTTTATCAGGAACTGATGATTTCTCGTCAGTTTTCTAGGGCTATTAGAGACTCTGAGTCAACTATTCAGGAGTGATTCTGTTCAAGTCTCACTGGATGTTATCTTGACACAATTCTGATTATCTACTTATTAAAAATAAACTGCAAGTAGAAACAGAAGCCACTTAAATATCCAACTAGGAGTAATAATACATCTGGTTGATGAAACATTATGTAGTCACTGAAAAACATGGTTCTAAAAATTACATTATCACATGAGAACGAGCATATGATGTAAAGTGAAATAAAAGGATCCAAATCTGTCTATGTCAAATAATTATGCTCATGTACCTCCTTGCCTTCTAGAAAAACTAAAAGAAAAAAAGGGGCGGGTGTGGTGGCTCACGCCTGTAATCCCAGCACTTTGGGAGGCCGAGACGGGCAGATCACAAGGTCAGCAGATCGAGACCATCTTGGCTAACATGGTGAAACCCTGTCTCTACTAAAAATACAAAAAATTAGCTGGGCGTGGTGGTGGGCGCCTGTAGTCCCAGCTACTCGGGAGGCTGAGGCAGAAGAATGGTGTGAACCCAGGAGGCGGAGCTTGCAGTGAGCCAAGATCGTGCCACTGCACTCCAGCCTGGGGAACAGAGTGAGACTCCGTCTGAAAAAAAAAAAAGAAAAGAAAAGAAAAGAGAAGAGAAGAGAAGAGAAGAGGAGAAAAGAAAAAAAGTAGAATATAAATGGCAGACTTTTTCAATTGTATAGCTACAGTTGATTTCTTATTATTTCCATTTCTCAAGAGTTTTAATATCCATGCTTATTTTTATTTATTTGAGACAGAGTCTCACTCTGTCACCCAGGCTGGAGTGTAGTGGCACGATCTCAGCTCACTGCGACCTCCACCTCCTGGGTTCAAGCAGTTCTCCTGCCTTGGCCTCCCAAGTAGCTGGGATTACAGGCACCCACCACGACACCCAGCTAACTTTTTGTATTTTCAGTAGAGATGGGGTTTCCCCATGTTGGCCAGGCTGGTCTTGAACTCCTGACCTCAAGTGATCCACCCGCCTCAGCCTCCCAAAGTGCTGGGATTACAGGCGTGAGCCACCGTGCCCCAGCTCATGCTTATTTTTAAAAAGGCATTACTTACATGACATAAGAAGGGTGAGAGTTTAAAAAGCAAACACTATGAAATTAGCCAGCAAAGTGTCCAGGCTTATGGCTACTTTGTGAGTGATTTGGTCTATCTGTGGTACAGTGGACTAACGCCTCACAGACAGTCTCAGGCTCACTAAATTATATGAATGTATATGTTATCTCCTTCTGCAGAGCATTGTCTTTTTAACCCATGAAAGAAGTGAGATTCAAAAAACCAAGTGGTGCATCAGAATCAAAATATGGATACCTGGGTTCCACCCCCAGTCTCCTGTGTTTGGGTCCTAGAAGGCCGGGTCCGGGCGTATGAGTTTTTAAAACCCTGATATGTGAATCTAACATAGAAATCTGATTAAAACTATTTTCTTCTAGATAAAAATGATAAATAGCAGGCCAGGCACAATGGCTCACACCTATAATCCCAGCACTTTGGGAGGCTGAGGAGGCCGGATCACCTAAGGTCAGGAGTTCGAGACCAGCCTGGCCAACATGGTGAAGCCCCGTCTCTACTAAAAATAAAAAAAATAGCCAGATGTGGTGGCAGGCGCCTATAATCCCAGGTACTCAGGAGGCTGAGGCAGGAGAATTGCTTGAACCTGGGAGGCGGAGCTTGCAGTGAGCCGAGATTGCGCGTATATTAAGAACTGTAACTGGCTAACAGAATAATCTTGGACTTTCTCTTATTTCATCTTCAACAATTTAGACAGATGTCACCACTTTACAGATCAGCCAGGTTGTGCCTAGCCTATGTTATACCAAGAGCTGAAATTCTAACTCAGTCAGGTCTGACTCCATAATGTGTGTTCTTCCTACTATACCTCAAGCTTGCCTGATATGGAAAAGAATGGAAATTAAAGAAGTAACAAGGACAGCCCTGTGACCACCTGTTCCACATCTGGGTACACACTTAGTATTCCGAATCATTGCAGCAAGCATCAACAAAGCCAGTCCTCCTTCAGTGCATGCACTATTAGTAGGGATGCAAGCAGGCAGGGTTAGGGTGGCCAGTTAGTAACAGGCATGAGTGCACAAATATGATCATCAAGTAGCAAAAATGCATTGGCCAATCAGGTGCCTTTTCCTTACCATTAAATATTCCAATCTCAGTTCTTACTGAATATGGCAGGTCATACATCTAAATTATTTAATAAAATGTTTAAATTAGAATACTCTTTGCTAAAATCTATTACTTCAAAAATAGCAAGATGTAAACTCTTTTACATGGGAATTAAAACTCTTACTGCTCTCTAGAGTCACAATTAACAGGAGACTCAAAATGATGCCAGAATGCCGGCATCCTCCAGTGCTGGTGCTGAGCTGTGAGAAGTTGGCTGCCAAACCTGCTTGGCAGCAATAATCTCCCCCCAAGAGTTTATCTTAATCCCATTAGCCTTAACCCAACTCTTTAAAACTCTAACTTAATCCAATTCTAAAGGAATAACCTGTTTTCAGGAATTTGTCCATCTAAAGTTTTCTAAGTGAAAACATTATGTCATAATAAAGGACCATCCTGTCCAAGGAAGTTATATATTTTTTCCTCCTTGAAAAACCCAATGGCTACATCCAAGAATGGTTAATAGCAGTATGATCAATACTAGCAGATTAAAAAATTCTAAATGTTGGCCTTCTGTGTACTTTCAGTGGGAGGCCAGGGGATTTTAAGATAGTACAGGTTAATTCTGTAATACAAAGATAACTCTGGTAACCTGGAATTTCTTGAGTTAGGAGAATTCATAGCATAGACCGGTTTTTAAATAGCTAGTATCTTCGGGAAACACATTTTTAATGTAAAATTTCACTTATCTAATAATTACAGGCAGTATATTACAGTGTTGTAGCAGATCAGTAAACTAAACTTGTGGAATAAATACACCCCGGGTAACAATGGTATTAAAAAATAGGCATAATTCTGGTTTGCAATCTTTCATTTAAATAAAAGGAAATATCTGATAATAACATTTTGGTGTGTCACAAGCATGAAATTGTGGAATCGCACCCGGGCCTCCTCCCTGTTTTGAAGGCTACACTCTGGTTTTCCACTTACGGTTCCTACAGAAAGTCTTACTCAGACCTAAGCTGTGAGCACTCTGGCTAAGGGGCCCACAGTAGGCCTAAGGCTCAGGCCAGCTGATTAAAGCAGCTGTACATATGATGAGGGCCTTATGCTGTCCACATGTAGACCCAGCGGCAGACTTAGATGAGCTCACAGTGCCTTTTAAAAAGCTCATATGGTTTAATAAAGCAAAACGTAAGCATGCTAGGATGCAAAGGAATTTAAAATAATTCAGTGTAGGGTATTTGGCGGAAGATTTTTTTTAATTTTTTGGTCTTGAGAATTTAAAATATCAAATTAAGAAGCTCCATGCAGTTAACTTGCACTTAAAATACAAAAATTTAAAATTAAAGCTCAAGACACAAAGGACACAATTTCCTCCCGTGCTGACTGCACCTGGGTCCTCTTTGGTTGGATGCTGGTGAGCCCATCAGTGACAGGTAAATCACACTGGGAAGAGTAGACTGCTGCTAAGAGGCTCACCAAAAAGATAGAAGATATTCCTTTTTTTTTTTTTTTTTAAAAAGAGGCAGGGTCTCACTCTGTCATGCAGGCTGGACTGCAGTGTGCAGTGACACAATCACTACCCACTGCAGTCTCGAACTCCTGAGCTCAAGCAATCCTCTTGCCTCAGCCACTCAAAGTACTGGGATTAGAGGCACGAGCCACTGTGCTTGGCCCCTAAGAAAGAAGATACTCTTCAAGAGCAGCTTGAAATCAGGCTCTTGATCTACTGACATCTACTCCTCGAATTTGAAGCACTGCAGCTCAAAGTGCTTCTGATAAAAATAAAGAAATGTCAATATGCTACAGAATGGATGGCCTATTGGCTGTCAGGGCACACGGTCAAACGGCTGCTCCTGAGCACATGGTCAAAAGCACATATGCAAAACACGGCTAAGCAGGAGCATTTGGAGCTGTGGGGCGAGCTATGGGGCAAGCTGCTCGGGGCCATTACAGACCTTAGTCCTGGAAACCTTCCCCACCTGTGAGGGCACTAGGAAGGGCATCTATTGGGAAACAAAACAAACAAACCAACATGGCTTTGTTGTTTTCAAAATAAAAGCTCTGATGGCATCAGAAAAAAAGTTATTAACCATTTATAACATGTGCAAATTATGTATTATATTCCTGAAAAAAGTTATCAAAAGCTGTTAGAATCAGTTAACCGTCACCCTTTGGGTTAATGGAAACCTTGGCACATTTTTAGCTGCAAAGTCACTCAATATGGTTGGAAAGCCCAGAGGTGTATTTCAGCTTCTTTTCCGAAAGTGCCTCCACTTAGAACAATTTAAACTAGGCTGCTGTAAGAAATTATTTGAGGCCCCTAATTACCATTTTTAAAAACACACTAGAAACCCCCATATTCATCCTTAAATTAAATAATAAATTAGAGCATTTGGGATGGAAATATTCTTGAAATGTTAAATAAAATGGTCATGTTCTAGACTATTAAAAATATGCCATTAGGTAGCCCACTAAAACCTGTACAATCACCACCACTTCCAAACAGGTTCCCACTGGGTCTACAGGAAAATCTTGATTCTTCCCTCCCAAGCCATTAGAACATGACAGTGCCCTGAGATCTCCCTTCTGGAGCATTCAATTTGGCATAAATCATGTTTTTTAAAGTTATACCTGAAATTCTGTACTTAATATGAACACTTTTACTCTTAGAAGTACTGTTTAAGCATTTTAATGAGGAATTCACTAAGAAATAAAGTTCATGCTCGTGTTGTAAAATACCTTCCACCTGGAATAAAAGCCATTATGTTGAGAAAAATGTAAACGTACATAGGTCTTAAACACACAAGCAACTATAAGTCAGGGGTCGGCAAACTTAAAGGACCAGGCAGTAAATGTTTCCAACTTTGTGGGCCACAGGATCTTTGGTCACGACTACCCAGCTCTGCTGTTTCAGCACCAATGCAGCCACAGACAATATGTTAACAAATGGGTGTAGCTGTGTTCCAATAAAACTTTAATGACAAAAACTGGCTGCAGGACAGGTTTGGTTTGGCTTGCGGGTGTAGTTTGCTGACACCTGGCATAAATCAAAGCTTAAATAAAATGTAGTAGTACAAAAGCAATGTAGAGCAGACGAGGAAATACGGGCATTGATGTCCTACTTACCTGTTACTATCTTGGAAGCTGTTGGTGCTGTGTTGGTGAGGCTGCTGTCCCCAGCTGAGTGGACACCAGGAGGTTGGGGGGGTGGGGGCACGCTGGGCCGGTTCCTTGGCTTTGGTACTGGTCTCGGTCTCGGTAAGGTTCCAGCATGTGGCTGTGCAGTTTCAGGGTTACCCCCTGCCAGGGTCTGAGGAGCTGGCAGACTGGGGTTCTGTTTTCCTAGGGGCGGAGTACTGGGGGGCGTTGGAGTCTGGGGAGGGGTGTGAGATGGCTGCTCAAGTCCATGCTCACTGGGCAATGCCATGGGGTTGGGAGGGCCCTGGCTATTGGGTTTGGTGTGCATCAGTGGCGTGGCCTGCGTAGGGGGCTGCGGCGGTGGGTGATTGGGAGCTTGGATTGGAGACAAGCTGCTGGAGTACCTCCGGGGTGCTGAGAGCTGGGAGGGGGCGGAGGGCTGGCCTGGAGGCTGGCCCGTGTGCTGGGTGGGAGGAGAGGGGCTTCGGGTGGGTGGCTTTGGTGACAGACTGGGTGGATGCTGAGATGTTCCTGAAGAACTCTGGCCCCCGGGGTGGCCAGGAGGTGGGTTGCCCGGTTTCGGGGGTGCTGGAGCGGGTTTTTTAACAGCTGCACAAAAAGAGAAAAAACACCTTTCAGTAGGAACAGTGAGGCAGCAACCAACCCTGGCCAGGAGCCCAAATTTAACATCACCAGTAATAAGGTACACCAGCATCATGTACCTCTGATGAGAGGTGGTCAGGAGGGCACCACACTGTGTCTTCCTCCCCAAAGCCCATAACCCATCAGAAGAACATCTGACAAACACAAATTGAAGGCCTTTCTTCAAAATGCCTGACCAGTACTCTCCAAAACCATCAAGGCCATAGAAAAGCACAGAAAGACGGAGAACATGTCACAGACAGCAGGAGACGAAGAAGATACGATGACTACATATAATGTGGGCTCCTGGATGAGATCCTGGGACAGAAAATGGACATGAGTGGAAAAACTAGGGAAATCTGAACAAAATGTGGAGTCTAGTTAATGGTAATGAACCGCAAGGTGCAGTGGCTCACGCCTGTGATCTCAGCACTTTGGGAGGCCAAAGCAGGCGGATCACTTGAGTGCAGGAGTTCAAGGCCAGCCTGAGCAACGTGGCAAAACCCCATCTCTACAAAAAACTACAAAAATTAGCCGGGCGTGGTGGCATGCGCCTGTAATCCCAGCTACTCATGAGGCTGAGGTGGGAGGATCCCATGAGCCTGGGAAGTCCAAGGCTGCAGTGATCACACCACTGAATTCCAGCCTGGGCAACAGAGTGAGACCATTTCAAAAAAAAAAAAAAAGTTGGGGGGGATGGGGGGACTAGCCCAATGTTGACTTCTGAGCTGGGGTAAATGTGCCATGGTCATGTAACACATTAACAACAGGGGAAACTGAGTAAGGGGCATATGGGAACTCTCAGCATTATCTTTGCAACTTTTCTATAAATTCAAAATTACTCCAAACAAACAAGTTTATTTTAAAAATTAAGTACATTATGCACATTTGAAAGGGCTTTAAAGGCCTATCGTTTTGAAAGTTCAATAAGAAGAAAACTGTTAACAGAGGCCACCCCAATGACACGGAAGTGCTGCCCTCAGCCCACTTAGCAGCCTCCTCATTAGGGCCCCATGGGAAGACGCAGAAAGAGGCAGAACAGCCAGGAGGGACCACCAAGCATGACTAGTTCACCCTGATATAACATGACCCCTGATCCCAAGCCACCTTCTCCTTGAGAGTTTGATTGGTTTGATTGGTCTTAATAACAGAATTTCTACCAATTCCGCAACCATTTGAGTTAATAGATATGTCCTGGACAAAAGCATGAATAAATCTGGAAGAGTTGCCTTAGAATTATTTCTCTAAAGAGAGCTGAATCACATCACTCTCCTCCCTACACCAGCTGAGATCAGGGATAGGAACCTGGGACTGATGAGGGCAGGAGGGAAAACAACAGATCTGGGGCTCTGGTTTTGGGCTGGGAGGGGTAGGGGGAAAGGAGAGATTTTAGCCTTTTTCAAACTCTGCTAAGATCCTACTGGTTCTCTAAGAAAGAAGGAGAAGGAAATGAAGGAAAGAAATGAACATGTATCACTCTTATCACCAGTACCAAGTAAGGCCTTTTATATAAATTATGCACATTATAATTTATATAAATTATCTCATTCAAGTTTCATAAGCTCATTGCAGGGCAAGCTCTGTTATCCCCATTTTCACAGAGAAGAAAACTGAGGCTTGAAGAGGGCCAGTGTTTGGTAATAGGTCACACAGCTAGTAAGGGGCAGAACTGAGACTCCTGCCCATGACATGTGGACTCCCTGAATGCTTTTTCCTCTTCCTCCTTCCCCTATTCCCCGGCTGCCTGTTTACAGGGCCCAGAATTCAGGATTGAAAAGGGTAAAGTCTCGGTGGCTCATGCCTGTATTCCCAGCACTCTGACTGGCTGAGGCAGGAAGATCACTCAAGACCAGCCTGGGCAACACAGTGAGACCCCGACTCTACAAAAAAATAAAGCAGCCAGGCATGGTGGCATGTGCCTGTAGTACCAGCACTTTGAGAGGCCAAAGTGGGAGGATCACTTGAGTCCAGTGGCTGGAGGATGCAGTGAGCTATTATCACGCCACTGCATTCCAGCATGGGTGAGAAAACGAGACCCTGCCTCTAAAAAACATAAGAAAGGAAAAAAAAAAAGAAAAAAGGGTAAAGTCTACTCTGCTACACTGGTCTGGAACTTTCAACCCTGGAACTCAGAAACCACCAACCAGCTTACATTAGCTGTACTCCAGACTGCCATCGGCATTTAAAAAAAAAGTCTAGTTTTCTGTTCTAAGCAATACTAATTGTAAAGTCATACTGAATAAAAGCTCGTTCCTGAAATTTAAGGGTGTGAAGAGGATGGGGAGAGGGAGCGTGGGAGCAAAGTGTCAGGGGGAGGGGGCTGGGAGAAATGGAGGCCTTGTCTGAGACCACCTCAGAGGCGCAGGGGGTGGGGAAGGAAAAAAGAATCAAACCCATCCTGCGAAGAAGCCTGGGAGCTGTGATTTCGGGAAGCATGAAAGACTCTGAATGCGGCTATAAGGAAAAGAGTCTTCTTAATCCAAAACCAGAGTCACACCTGGAATCTAGGTCCAGAAGACTAACTTCCCTCAAGGATCAGCTGAGATCCTGATAAGATGACAGGGCCCAGAGAGGCAGCCTGAAGAAGAATAAAGTGGGGGTCTGCAACCAAGCAGTGGACTCGGATTTGCCTCCCTGCCTATGATTTGTAGAAATTCCACTAACATTTGTGTAGTGCTTTGTAAAGACCATGCTTCTATAGACAGACACAGTGAATTTAATCCATTTTTTTTTCTTTTTTCGGGACAGAGTCTTGCTCTGTTGGCCAGGCTGGGGTGCAGTGGCACAATCTTGGCTCACTGCAACCTCTGCCTCCCAGGTTCAAGCAATTCTCCTGCCTCAGCCTCTTGAGTAGCTGGGACCACAGGCGTGCAAGCACCATGCCCGGCTAATTTTTGTATTTTTAGTAGAGATGGGGTTTCACCATGTTGGCCAGGCTTGAACTCCTGGCTCAAGTGATCCACCCACCCCGGCCTCCCAAAGTGCTGGGATTACTGGTGTGAGCCACTGCGCCTGGCCTCTCTTTTTTATTTTAGAGATGGGGTCTCACTCTGTTGTCCAGGCTGGAGTGCGGTGGTGCAATCATAGCTCACTGCAGGCTCGACCTCCTGGGCTCAAGTGATCCTCCTGCCTCAGCCTCCTGAGTAGCTGGGACTATAGGTGTGTGTCACCACACCCAGATAATTTTTAAAATTTTTTTTGTAGAGGTGGGCTCTCACTATGTTGACCAGATTGGTCTCCAACTCCTGGCCTCAAGCGATCTTCCTGCCTCAGCCTCCCAAAGTGCTGGGATTATAGGTGTGAGCCACCACGCCCAGCTGGAAGAAGTGATTTTTGAGGTGAGACCTGAATGGTAAGAAGAAACCATGTGAAGATATGGGACAGAATGTTCTGGAAGCCCTAAGGAGGGGATGAACTTAGTTCATTCAAGGAACCAAGAGTGGAGTGTGTTGAGAGGAGGGAGTGTAAGCTCTGGGCTCAGAGGTAGGCCCCACCAAAGCACAGAGAACCCAGGGTGAGAAGTTCGCATGGAAGCCACTGAAGAGTTTAACCAAGAGACGACATGATCTGCTTGGAGTTTTAAAGCAATTCCCCTGGCTGCTGGGTGGAGGACTGCAGGGAAGACAGGTGGGAGCAGTTCAGATTCTGTTAATCAGGACCTAGAAAGCCTTCACCCCAATTCCGAAGCAAAAGTGCCTCCCAGACCCACAAAGCTGAGAAGTACAGAGGCTGTGGTAGTCTCCAAACAGAGCGAGGGCTTGGGACACCAGGAAAACTGGGAGCATTTCTGCAGAACTGACTGTTTGTTAAGCTTTGTCACGCCTAAGGAAAAACTAAATGTCTGCTTTTCTGTTCTCTATTTTTTCCTTTTTCTTTAATGACTTTTCTCTTGAATGACTGAATTTTCTGCTTGGGATTTTACAACAGACATAGAAAAGATCTGGCCACAAACCTCACCATCTGAATCCTTGCACTAACTTAAGGAGGTCTGCACAGGCTTCCCTGAGGGCAAGGAGGACGGTGGCTGCTTACCTCGGCGCAGTGTATGCGGGCTGGGCCCTGCAGCATTGTGAGGTTGGCCCATGGAGAGCTGGTGGGAGCCAGCAGCTGCCTGGGGCTGATTTTGGCCAGATGCTATCTGACTGTTGTTTCTCCCTGGTGCTGGCACAGCTGCAGATACAGGGTCCTTCGGTTTGGGAGGACTAAGAGGAGTAAAAGTCAAGTTAGACGTCAGACAATCCCAGCTAGAAAATCTGAACATACTGCACATAAAACATAAGATTCCAAGCAGAGTTTTCACTTCGGCAGGCAGGAAAAGGATCTGAAATTCTAACTAGCTCACACTGGGCTTATAAAGCTAATGTTTACTTGGTGCCATATAAAGAGCTAATGTTTACTTGGTGCCATTTTTTTTTTAAGAGATGAGGTCTTGCTATGTTGCCCAGGTTGGTCTCAAATTTCTGGACTCAAGCAATCCTCTCCTGCCTCAGCACCCTGAGTAGCCGGGACTATAGGACTATTTATTTTATGAGATTCGTTGCATCAGACTGGACTCCAACGACTCTGCCACTCCAGTATCATCAGAGAGACCATTTCAAAGCAACCAATGCGGAGTTTTCAGTTCTACTGCGTTTGGACTTAAATTGGGCAGTACTTAATACCATGAAATGGCTTTTACATGTTGACATATACACTGTACAAAACTAAGCAAAAGCCATGGCAAAATAAGACCCTAAATGATAAAGGGCTTGATTATTATCAATAACTTGGACTGAAGAAGGAGAACTCAGAGGCTAAATGACTACTCGAAGTCCAGAGTTGGTAGCAGCAGGATAGAGATCAGAATTCAGGCTTCCTGTTTCCTGGCCCAGAACTTTTTATACCAAACTCTGTAGCTCCATTTTGTCAAGGTCACCAAAGAGTGAATAACATTAGTGTAATGTACATAAAAATACCTACAGAATACAGTATAAAAAACAAACAGCAGGCCAGGCACAGTGACTCACGCCTGTAACGCCAGCACTTTGGGAGGCTGAGGCACATGGATCACTTGAGGTCAGGAGTTCAAGACCAGCCTGGCCAACAAGGTGAAACCCCGTCTCTACTAAAAATACAAATATTAGCCAGGCGTGGTGGCGCATGCCTGTAGTCCCAGCTACTCTGGAGGCTGAGGTGGGAGAATCGCTTGAACCCAGGAGGTGGAGGTTGCCGTGAGTCAAGATCATGCCACTGCACTCCAGCCTGGCTGACAGAGCGAGATGCTGTCTCAAAAAAAAAAAAAGCAAAGTAACTGACATTCCATTTGTCCTTCTGCATTAAGACTAATTATTGTCTTAAATAATACATTTAGCCTTGATTAAACAAATGGAATGTCACAAGGAAATGAAAATATGTAAATTGGCTGGGCATGGTGGCTCATGCCTGTAATCCCAGCACTTTGGGAGGTTAGGGAGGGAGGACTGCTTGAGACCAGGATTGAAGACCAGCCTGGGCAACACAGTGAGACCTCGTCTCTACAAAAATTTAAAAAAATTAGCTGGGCATGGGGATGCACTACTATAGTCCCAGTTGGGAGGCTGAGGTGGGAAGATCGCTTGAGCCTGGGAGATTAAAAGGCTGTAGTGAGCCATGATCACACCACTGCCCTCCAGCGTGGGTGACAGAGCAAGACCCTGTCTGAAAAAAAAAAAACAACAAAAAACAGGCCGGGGCAGTAGCTCACGCCTGTAATCCCAGCACTTTGGGAGGCCAAGGCAGGTGGATCACTTGAGGTCAGGACATCGCGACCAGCCTGGCAAACATGGTGAAACCCCATCTCTACTGAAAATACAAAAATTAGCCAGGCATGGTGGTCCATGCCTGTAATCCCAGCTACTCCGGCGGCTGAGGCAGGAGAATCATTTGAACCCAGGAGGCAGAGGTTGCAGTGAGCCAACATTGCACCACTGCACTCCAGCCTGGGCAACAGAGCGAGACTTCGTCTCAAAAAATAAATTAATAAATAAAAATAAATAAAAATAAAAAACAAAACCAAGAAAAAGAAAATAAGTGAATTTGCTTAGACTTTTTTCCTTCAAACAAAAAAATTTAAACCAAAACAAGTACATGCATAGGGCACAATTATTGACAAGCTAACGTGCAGCCTATGAGGTGCACGGGAAGCCCTAAGAAGTCTGAAGTCTTAATTTTTTTTAACCCCAAAGTAAACTTTCCCAAGGTGAAGAAAATGGAATTCAGGAATGCACAAAGCATTCAGCATTCAGTTTTAATGGTGAAACAAGATTCCTATCTCACGAGCAGCTTCACACACAACAAGGCTCTCCCTTGCTCATCCCAAGGACGATGAGAAAGGAGTTCTTTCAAGGCAAATTCATCTCTCTGTGTGGGAAATAAACGTGTGGATAAACAGCCTGTCCTTGTTTTGTGCACATTTATTTTACTTCATATATGATCATTCGGTGTGTTGTGGATGGCCAATGCAGAACATATGACAACAAAAATTTTGGCACACATGTATGCAAAGCTAAGCAGCTGTCAGTTCCAAACCACAAGAGATGCCACCTGAAGTAGCCTCTGGTGGTCATCTGCCTGGATCAGTGTGGAGAACTGAATTAATGTCAATTAAATAAAAATCTCAAGTTATGGCTGGGCGCGGTGGCTCACACCTGTAATGCCAGCCTTTGGGAGGCCAAGGCAGGGGGATCACCTGAGGTCAGGAGTTTGAGACCAGCCTGACCAACATGGCGAAACCCTGTCTTTACTAAAAATACAAAAAAATTAGCCTGGCATGGTGGTGTGTGCCTGTAATCCCAGCTACTCCGGAGGCTGAGGCAAGAGAATCACTTGAACCCGGGAGACGGAGGTTGCAGTGAACCGAGATTGCACCACTGCACTCCAGCCTAGGCGACAGAGTGGGACTGTCTCAAAAAAAAAAACCTCAAGTTCAAGGTGACTTTTCTTAAAAGTTGCTATCCATTTGCAGCCCACTCCAGGTGGCTTATCCAAAGGTTAAGCAACTAAAAGAGCCTTTTAAGAAAATCTACCAGCTAGGCATGGTGGCTCATGCCTGTAATCCCAGCATTTTGGAAGGCTGAGGCAGGAAGATCACTTGAGGCCAGGAGTTCGAGATCAGCCTGGGCAACCTAGGGCATCTATGTTTACCCCATCTTTACAAAAATAAAAAAATTAGCTGGGCATGGTGACAAGCACCTGTAATCCCAGCTACTTGGGAGGCTTAGGTAGGAGGATTGCTTGGGCCTAGGAGGCGGAGGGTGCAGTGAGCTACGATTATGCCACTGCACTCCAGCCTGGGCAACAGAGCAAGACGCAGTCTCAGAAAAAAAAAAAAAAAAAAGAAAAAAGAAAAGCTACCATCTTATTTTCCACCTTGGACTCATGGATCAACTGCCCTACAAGACTGAAATCTGGGGGTGTGGAGTGGAGTCTTAGTCACCTCATGTGCCTAGCACATATCAGTGACTCAGTAAATCTGTTTCACTGAATCAATCAACGAATGGGTGAATAAATGCCAGGAATACGAAAATTTAACTAACTTGCCACACTCAAATGCTTCCTGGTTAGCACACTGGATGACAATGAACAGAAGGTACATGAATGCTGACAGTATACATCCAACAGGTGACAGAGGCTCATCACACTATGAGACATCCACTGGCTTCCGGTTTCCAGCACCAAAGCAGTGTGGCAAAGAATGCAAACCAATGTTGCTTTCTTTGGAAAACATAAAAAGAAGCGAGCCATTCATAGTCTTTTTTTCCATCTTTTGCCAACCAGAGGAGTGAAAGTAAATCTGTTCACTCCATGCTGGAGCAGTTCTTTGGGCATGGATGCCGTGCTCAAAGGCCACCACCTGCAAGAAGGCTGGGGCGTCCAGCCTCCACTGCCAGCAGAAGTCAGCCTCCTTACCTGCCGTCGCCTGGGCTCGGCCCCTGCTCCAGTATGCCCGCGGAAGAGGGGACAGTCCCACCCCCAGAGCTGCTTTCAGCCCTAGAGCTCTGGGGAGGGGGCTCTGGGCCAGCGGGCACCACGGTGCTGCCATCTGTGGGCGGAAGTGGCGGCTGGAAAGCGGGGGATATGTGCTTTCTATTTAGAGTGCCACCCCGCCGGTGGGCCTGGAAGTCCATAAGCTTCACACCAAAGCTACACAGAGAGAAGAAACAGTCAACACACCATGCGAGCAGACTACTGAGACAGAAGCCCATCGGTCCACATGTGTTAAAACCACACATGGGGATAGCCACCCAAGCTGCCCGGCATGCAGTGAAGCGGCAAGGACCAGACTAATGGCCACCCCTGAGCAACTCCACTCGGCTTCAAGCCTGAGCAAAGCCAATGAACCTGGTACTGTTCAATGTCTTTGATCAATTTGGGTGTGAGCAGCTAAAAGCAAATAGGCAGGCCTCATCTTGAATGACATCATGTTAGTGTGTTTATCCCCATACTTCCTCTGCTGTTTTTTTCCCCCTTTAGACATGTGGTCTCACTCCACCACCCAGGCTGGAGTGCTTGGCACTCCAGTGGAGCAATCATAGCTCACTACAGTGCCAAACTCCTGGGCTCAAACAATCCTCCAGCCTCAGCCTCTGGAGCAGCTTGGACTACTGGCACACATCACCATACTGGGATACTAAAAAAAAATTTTTTTTTGTAGAGATGCGGTCTCACTACATTGCCCAGGCTGATGTCAAACTCCTGGCCTCAAGTATTCCTCCTGCCTTGGTCTCTCAAAGTGCTGGGATTACAGGCATAAGTCACCACATCCGGCCTATTTCCATACTTCCTAGTTCCCATCTCAAATCTGTTTTTGGGGAATGACACAGAAGTCAAGTCCAGAAGGCCTACCAATGGCAGTGTAAGGTTATCACACCACACTGCCTCTTAACTGAGATGAGATGTAGAAACAATCCTATGTGCATATGCAGACTACATGTGAAAGGTACATAAGGCTGGAAAAGCTGGGCATGGTAGCTCACACCTGTAATCTTAGCACTTTGGGAGGACAAGGTGGGAGGATCGCTTTAGCTTGGAAATTCAAGACCAGCTTGGGAAACATCGTGAGGCCCTGTCTCTACAAAAAACTATTTTTTTAGAAAATTAGCTGCGTGAGGTGGTGCGTGCCTATAGTCCCAGCTAGTCAGGTGTGTGAGGTGGGAGGGCTGCCTGAGCCCAGGAGGTCAAGGCTGCTGTGAGCCATGATCATACCACTGCACTCTAGCCTGGGCACATAACCCTGTCTCAAAAAAACAAAAACCAAAAAGACTGGAAAAAGCCGTTGCTTTGGGGAAGGGAATGGTGGCTGGATGTGGCTGGAGAGGGTGGAAGGAAGGCTGACTTTTCACTTAAGGCGACTGATCTATGAACTTAACAACTTTTTCTTTCAGTTCAAAAAGTAAAAAGATACCTGGCTTCTTGAGCTCGTGCTTACTGGGTCAGCTGGCAGGGAGAATACACAAGGCAGGTAACTGAGAATTGTCTGTCACGTGCTAACTAGACTCATGCACTGTATTCTGTAACTTAAAATATATGAAAGCTAATTTTGTTACAGGTAGAGTCTGTCATCAGGAAATACTACTGAATGTATGAATGAGGGTTCAGAGAGGTAATACGTCTGCATAGAATAAATGTGGATTTTGGAAGGACAGAATAGGGACAGAATAATGCATTCTCCTTTGCTAGGGGTAAAAAATGCAATACAAAGAACAAGAAACAAACAGCACACCTCACTATAAGACTGAGCAATTAAAATAAGAGCTTGTCACTTCGTTTTAATGTAAAACTATTTCTAGTAGTATTATTTAATATACCAAGAAAAGCATATTACTTCCAACAGGCCTCTTAACTGTTAGCATTCCTAGTGAGTACAGTGGCATTTCATCACACACATGGGACAGGTTGGCATCCAAAGGCACAAATTACAAACAGTCTTAATCACCCTTGAAAATCCCATGAATTGCCCATAGAAAAGAGTATATAGAGACACACTGCTTCTCACTAAGTTCAACACTGCCATTTTTTTTTCTTCTAGAATTGGCAAATACTGAGGTTTTTCCCACTGAACATCAAATTCAGTGGTTGGCTTCCATTGTGGGGCCACATTATACCAGAAATATGTCTCCTTAAACGCCAAATCACTCAACTCACTGTGCCAGGTGGGTGTTCTCACACTCAATTCTGGACAAAAGTCCACACTATTGAATTTATTTTCCTTTCTGTTTCCCCCCACTCACGTACATCTGGGTCACTTTTAACATGTGTATGATGCCGTTCCACTGCAGGGCTTACCAAGCACACCACCAAGTTAAGCTGGAATACACGTGGAAGAAACGTTAACTGAGAAGCTACACACTGACTTTATGGTGAGATTAGTGCTTGGAATGACCTACAGCAGAATTCCAGAAACTATCTGGACACCATCAGTCATGGGTGGATGGCGACCACTCTCAAATCCCAAGTCCACTGAGCGATACCAGATACCACGGGTCTAACAACATATTTACTGCTGGTTTGGAAGTGAACGGTCAAATCATACCTTTCCTTCTTCACCAAGTCTCCTTCCATCACCGCCATGCTAGCAGGCCGCTTCCTCTCCAGGGTCCCCGAGTCAGAGTCGTTTCCAGTGTGGAATGAGTGATTAGAACTCGGGGTGGTGAGAGGTACAAATGCTTCTGATACATTAAATTCCACCTCTGCAAGAGGAAAAATAAACAAGTGCATGAGACACTGAGCACAGCAGGCGAGGGAGCTCTAAGACACCCCTCATTGGAACGGGAACCTCGTTCTTCAGTCCACAGCCCTCACTATTTCAAAGTGGAAGCTCCAGGCACTCACATCGCAAGAATGGTCCATCAAACCAGTGGGAAGTAATGTTAAGAGGACAAGACAGGGGAAGAAGTATGGGTCAGAATATAAGTTACACACTTTTGTGCTTTCTCTTTTGTGGAAAAAAAATAAATAAAAACAAATCTAGAATGTAGAAGAGGACGATGAGCACAGATCACTTATTTGAATCATTCAAAAAGAGACATTTAGCTGGGTGTGGTGGCTCATGCCTGCAATCTCAGCACTTTGGGAGGCCAAGGCAGGCGGATCACTTGAGGTCAGGAGTTCAAGACCAGCCTGGCCAAGAACGTGAAACCCCGTCTCTACTAAAAATACAAAAAATTAGCTGGGCATGGTGATGTATGCCTGTATTCCCAGCTACTCAGGAGGCTGAGGCAGGAGAATCGCTTGAACCTGGGAGGCAGAGGTTGCAGTGGGCCGAGATCGCGCCACTGCACTTCAGCCTGGGCGACAGAGCAAGACTCTGTCTCAAAAAAAAAAAAAAAAAGAGAGATATTTACACTTTAATATAAAATAGAAATAAAAGGCAACATCAAGTTCATACTGCCTTTAGCAGTTTTTGCAAGAATCATTTCCTCAAAGGAAACCTTGAGCAGAATGCTAGCATTCGCTCATCCATCCCATCCTCACTGGGCAACCTATATGAATGAGGCGTGATTCCTGATGGTGACAAAACAGTGGTAAAGAAAAGATGGGCTCAGTGGTGAGGGAAAGATGGGTATCATGGGGCTTGCACCCCACGGGACATGGCAGCAGGGTTGCTCTGGGGGAAGTAGGTGTGGGGGATCCGGAATTCCAACACTTGCCTGGCCAGCATCCCCAAAGGGGGCCATGGGAACCTCTGTGGATCCCAGAACTGCAACAAACCTAGTTTGAAAATCTATTGCCAGCAGGATGAAATACTAATTC
The DNA here is from genome assembly GCF_000001405.40 of Homo sapiens. Taxonomy (NCBI): domain Eukaryota; kingdom Metazoa; phylum Chordata; class Mammalia; order Primates; family Hominidae; genus Homo; species Homo sapiens. The sequence continues at coordinate 196,690 of NW_021160019.1, forward strand.
CCTGACACAGCCAACTCAGGCCTTCACCAGCTGGCCCCGATCAACCTTTCCTGCTTTATCTCCTATCTATGGGCAAATCCATAATCTAGCTAGAGAAACAAGCCCTCTTCCAAGTGAAAAACTCCAGCATATTCAACATCGCCTCTTCTAAAAACCAATCCCTGGTTCCCTTTTCCCAGCACTTGAGTTTGTCAAATCTTTCTCCATCCACCTATCTTCTAATGTGCCTTGTGTTATAATTTATCTGTTCATGTGGCCATCTTCTCCAGTGGCCGGAGTTCCCCCAGGTAAGACGGCATGTTTCACCAGCAAACATATGGCACCCAGTGGGTATTCAACATACACTGACTGGCTATGTTTTAGTGAAACTAAGTGAAATACAATACAATATGATTACCATCATGTCAAAATACAAATGCAATGAACAAAGGCTGGAAAGAAACATGAAAAAGTGAAACCAATTACGTAATCATGAAGAAGGATTACAGATGTATTCTCTTAAGAAGACTTTTTGTACGATTATCACATTGCTTTGGCGGTCAATGAAACTGAAGTGAGAATTACCTTCAGGGAAGAACCAGTCGGCATGCTGAATGATGGGTTCAATCACTGCAACCACATGGACGGATGTGGCTGCTGCCATTTCAGCAAGTGTTCTGCAAAGCAAGTTCACAAAATTAAAATACTTCCTGTAGGCAGCATCTAATTTCTTCTGGTTGTGTCAGGGCAATTCAATTATTTTTAAAGGATAAAATATTTAAAAGATGCAAAAATCAAAATCACTGGCCGGGTGTGGTGGCTCACACCTGTAACCCCAGCACTTTGGGAGGCTGAGGCGGGCGGATCACAAGGTCAAGAGATCGAGACAATCCTGGCCAACATGGTGAAACCCCGTCTGTACTAAAAATACAAAAATTAGCCAGGCGTGGTGGTGCGTTCGCATAGTCCCAGCTACTCGGGAGGCTGAGGCAGGAGAATCGCTTGAACCCGGAAGATGGAGGTTGCAGTGAGCCAAGATCAGGCCACTGCACTCCAGCCTAGTGACAGAGCGAAACTCTGTCTCAAAAAAAAAAAAAAAAAATCAAATTCACATGGTCCTGGTCTATGAATGTGGCCGTGATCACCCAGGAAAAAATGACTCTGGCTTGGCTGCTCCTTAGTGTGCACTGTGATAACAACCACAGTGTCTGCTACACACAGACCCTGGGGGCAGCAAAACCAGTCAGTCAACAATGCTGTGTCAAATGCTGGTTTTAAACTGGTCTGTAAAGAGGGTTGCACTTTCCCACTGGAATAGCATCACACATGGGTGGTAGCTATGTTCTAAGACTAAAGATTACTAAAAAGCAATTTTGCCTACGATATCACCAAGAACATGCATTGTTACAGTGTGCCTTTTATTTTTTATTTTTTTATTTTTTATTTTTTGAGACAGAATCTCGCTCTATCGCCCAGGCTGGAGTGCAGTGGCGCTATCTCAGCTCACTGCAAGCTCCGCCTCCTGGGTTCACACCATTCTCCTGCCTCAGCCTCCCGAGTAGCTGGGACTACAGGCACCTGCCACCGCGCCCAGCTAATTTTTTGTATTTTTAGTAGAGACAGGGTTTCACGGTGTTAGCCAGGATGGTCTCGATCTCCTGACCTTGTGATCTGCCCGTCTCGGCCTCCCAAAGTGCTGGGATTACAGGCGTGAGCCACCGCGCCTGGCAAATGTGCCTTTTATTATGTTGAAACCTGAGCCTCCCATTCACACGTAAGGTCATCATATATGTGGACTAGTCTCAAGATGAGTGTTCAGATGTTAATAGTGTCTGACGCCAAGGCTCAAAAAGAAGAAAATAAGTAGGCCAGACGCAGTGGCTCACACCTGTAATCCCAGCACTTTGGGAGGCTGAGGCAGTTAGACCAGGAGTTCAAGACCAGCCTGGACAACATAGTGAAATCCCATCTCTACAAAAATACAAAAATTGGCCAGGTGTGGTGGCATGCATCTGTATTCCCAGCTACCGGAGAGGCTGGGGTTGGAGGATAGCCTGAGCCCAGGAGGTTGCGGCTGCAGTGAGCCATGATCACACCACTGCACTCCAGCCTGGAGAACAAAGCGAGAACTTGTCTCAAAAAAAAAAAGAAAGGAAGAAAGAAGAAGAAGAAGAAGAAAAAAGTAAGAGTTATTATCACTGCTATCAAGCTCCTGTTTCAGCTGAGAGTCAGAACACCACAAAAGCAAACCACCTGCAAAAGGCCTGACACTTTCTGGCCACCTACCAGGCTTCAGGTTCTTCACCTCGCTTAATTTTTACAACAACCCGTTATGAGGCCTACATGAGGACACTGGGTTCCCAAGCTCAATCCCAGGTCTGACTGCCTCAAACCTCTCCTCTCCTATCACTCTGACCTCTCTTCCCATCAGAGTATTTTCACCCACTTTCCGACCAAGTAAAATTTCTTGCTCCTTTCAAATTCCAGCTTAAAATTGAAGCTCTGCCTGTAAATGATCCTTCCCAGCCTTCCTCCCATGTGGAATCTGATCAGTCTGTGTGCCTTAAAACTCTGCTGGATTAGGGAGGAACTGTCCTCTCCATCCTTTCCCATTTTTCTTTTAGGAGAGTACTGGAAAGCTAATAAGGGTTAATAAGGACACAGGCTCTGTATCCAGAACCTGGGCACACCAGTTCCCTGCTGTGTGACCTTAAGCAAATTACTTTTTCTTTCTAAGAGTCAGCGTCCTCATCTGCAAAAACAAGGACAACAGTATAAATGTCAATGATTCAACCTCTATTTGCTATATATTTCTAATCAATTTCTCCTTTATGTCCTCTATTCAAAAGGTTACTTCTGATTACTAAATGAGATCATCACAATGCCATCCACAGAGTGACAATTTCCCAGAAGCTTTCCAGCGGATCCCCCGACCCCTCCTCTATTCAATCTACATTTTGCAATGCCAATAAAGTTATCTAAGTGCAACTTAAGACATTATTCTGCTTAGGAACCTTAATGAATGACTCCCCACCACCCAGAAAATAAGTCCCAGACACCTCAGTACAATGTGTGAGGCCCTTGAAGGCTCTGGCCTTCCCAGTCACAGCCTCATGTTCTCTGTCTTCAAGTTTCACGAAGCCACGTGACATGCCCATAAACGATGGAAACCAGGCCCTTTCAACAGTGTCTTGGCCCATCCAGGTCCTGGCTGTACGAAACTGTTAACTCATCAAGGTACAGCTCCAGTGCCATTCCCTAACCAGAGCTTTCCCTGACTTCTCAGCCTGAATTATGTTTCTTTACCTCTGCTGCCGTCATACTTGATAAAGGGGGCAGAATACGCTATCCCAAAATATGCTCCTTAGGCATAGGATTATTTTGAGTTAAAGACACTTGAAAACCATCACATGCAAGAAGAGGGCTCCGACCTTCCTTTTTCATCCTGAAAGCAGGAGATAAACTCCCATGTGAAGGATGCCCTCCTTATACCAGGAGGAAAGAAACATTCCTAACACCAGGGACGGGGAGGCAAGGCTGAGGGAAACCTCCATAAACAAACCTTGCTGAACGAATCCTTATCTTCCTAGTCACTTCTCCACAACTAACTGCCCTAGCCCATGCTCCTTTGTCTGGTCACGTTTTCACAATTTACTTTTTGTCCAACTTCATATATAAGCATTCAGTTCCACCTGCTTCTTTGGATCTTCCTTTTCCTATGGGAACTCCAATGTCAGACATGACACTGATGCTTCAAATTCATCATAATATACGTGAAATCCCATTCCCAGTAGTCCCAAGTTACTCTCCAAAGTGATGTGTTTTTTTATTAATGTGCTAAGTAGGCATGAATTAAATGGCTTCTCTGCTGGGCATTAAAATGTAAAAATCTGTATGCTTTCTCCTGTTAACCTGTCTTATGTCCATTTAGTTCTCAGGCCCAGCCAGACACCCTAAGAGGGTGGAAGTGCTACCCCTCCTACAATATCATATATACACACACATAAATATGTGTATTTTTCTTATCACTGTACTGTAGCCACTGAGCTATCTGACTGCCTAAGAGCAGGGGCATTTTGAGAACTGGGACAATGTCTCACACATCTTTGTGTCACCACCAGCTGGGACAGCACCCAGCTCACAGCTGTGTTCCAAGAATATAGGCTGAATGAGAAAACCAACTTCAGAATACCTTGAATTGATCTTAAACTAGAATGTGTAACCTGAGTTACATTTCTATGCATCCCATCAGGTGGGAAAGAAGAAATTCAAATGATACAGAGAAAGATGACTTACCCTTCATTTCTGGCCCATAACAAGTTAGGGCCTAACACAATCGCAATGTTGCTGGGAGTCATTTTATTCACATCGCTGGTCTGAGCAAGCTTTGCAAGGAACTTGATCAAATATCTAGGGGTCAAAAGAGAAGGGGAGGGTTTCTCCTCTGAAATAGCTGCTGGAATGTTCTCTTCCTGCCTGGGTGCACAATCCCAGTTTGCTCAGGTGCTAACTGCAGAGGGTTCCTAAATCAGAATCTGGCTCAGGTGAAGCATTTTATACATTTCTTGTGTTCTTTGCTTCAGATAATAGACTAATTAGGGCTTGGAAGAAGAAAATAGGTTAAGTCTAAATCTCAGTGATTTGAACCCCTATTGGCTGTATATTTCTAATCAATTTCTCCTTTATGTCCTATCTATTCTACCCCTATTATAAGTTATAATGTGTTAATAGTGAGCTCAATATTTTTAAATACAAAAACAGACACAGTTATATTGCTTACAGGAAACTGTATTTGAAAACACTTTATGGTGGAATTATAAAAATATCCAATTTATCATATATACCTACCTTATGTATAAGTACAGTCATATAAAGGCAAAAACGTAAGAACAACCTATCAATAGGGAGCTGCTTAAATAAATCACAGTATATCCATACAGTGGAGGACTATGCTACCATCATTACAAAATGTACTGAGAAGGAAAAATCTCCAAGATGTATTACGCAAATACCTTAAGCTGTCAAGCAAAAAAGGTAAGGGGGAGAATGACGTATACAATATACACTACCATTTGGTTTTTTAAAAAGGGGGTGTGAGAGGAAAAACACACAGGCAAGTATGTACACACGAATGTATCTGCTTACGTCTACATTAACTCTTGCTGAGAGGATATATAAGAAACTGTAAACACTGGATGCATCCCAGGAGAGGAACTGGGTGGCTGGGGTATGGGAACAGGAGAGAGATTTTTCATCGTATACCATTTGAATTTTGAACCATGGGAATGTGCTCCCTATTCAAAAATCAATTAGTAACAATTACAGAGTAAAATAAACAAAATAAAGAGCCAAACTCTCAACATACTAAGAAGTACTGAGCTCTCACCATATACACTGAATAGAGGAAGAGTATCTGTAATTCCAAGGTGGGTGAGTTAAATTAATCAAAGGGAATATTTAAAAGGCAGTATGTAGCTTAGCTTAGTAGGAGAGCCCAAGGCGGAATTTAAGGACAAGTAACATTCCAGGCATATCACCTGTAAACTATTCTGACTGGTCACTTAATGTCACTCAAAACCAAACAAGGAAAATTTTCTAGGGGCACTTTCTAGAAAATTTTCTTTGTTTGGTTTTGAGTGACTTTACCACCTGAGGCCACTTTTTCCTTTTCTCTATACTTGTTCAAAGTTACATATTAAGTCAAAAGGAAAACAGAAGTTACATTATGGAAGTTTTGTCCCATGGTAAATTTTCTTAAAACCACAGTTATTCCACAAAGCAATATATAATCTCCATTCTTTGAAATTTTATTTAGTAAGATGATTTATACTTTAAATTAAGTAGCATATATAAAAGACATTACAGAATGTACAATTATTGATTAATTTTGCCTTTTAACATACTGGATGATTTGGACTCCAAACCCAACATACAGTCACTCAAACTTTTCACAAGAAATTTATTGCTAATAGCTGTAGTGGGAAAATGATAAGCCAACTTACGTATTAATGTCAGGCATGATACTGATGCTTCAAATTCATCATAATATACATGAAATCCCATTCCCAGTAGCCCCAAGTTACTCTCCAAAGTGATGTGGTTTTTTTTGTTGTTGTTGTTGTTTTTTAATGTGCCAAGTATGCCTGAATTAAATGACTTCTCTGCTGGGCATTAAACTTATCTTCACTCCAGAGTCATTGTAGCTCAATCATACATACCTAAAGTTAACAAAATTTTGTGGTGGCAACTTCTGACATGTTCTCCACAAGTCTTGAAGTTTTTTGTCTTGATCCTGCACACTGAGAACAAAAACTTTTAAGTACAACAACTTATTAAGACACCAATTATCTTATTAATATGCTATGTTAAAAATGAGGCCTCCATTTTGACAGAGAAAGCACAGTTGGAAAACAGCCCATGCTATGGAAATAAACAGATTTAGAGTCAAATACCAATTAACTGTTTAACTCTGCGCAGTTGGTTAACCTTCAATCTCTGGATGTGCAAAACAGGGTAAGTGTTGATTCTGCTGAACGATTTTGAGGCGTCTGTGACAAAACCACCTCCACCAATGCTTGGCACAGAAGAGACAAGACACTACTGAAAATTCTGTCTAGAAAAAGTGTGTACTGACGTATGGCTTTACAGAACCCAAATTCTCCTACCCTCAAGCAGCCCAGCCACAGATCAGGGGGCTGAGCTCCCAGGCACCCAGACCTCTGGGTCTTTCCTCGCTTGCAATACTGCAAACTGGCTGCACATCAAGCAGCCCATTTCTGTTGTGAAGCAACTGTAAGAGCTCTTGCACTCCACAGGCGCAACGTACAAACTTGCAGAGACATAAAAAAGGGGCAGTGAGGAGCCTGTAGAGCACGGCCAACTCTGCCCACTAGGGACCAAGAGTGTTAAAGGGGCCTCTATAACACCACTTTGAACGTGAAATATCCTCCAGAACAGAACCATTCTGGAGAACATGGATAGGGATTAAACATAATTACACTTTAGAGGCCAGTCGATGTGTTACTGGGATGGAAGCCCACCCATATTGACAATTCTCAACTATAGAATCAATATACCAACAGATAGACGCCTTCTTTTACAAGTTTATTTCCTTGTAATAAACAAGGAAATCTTTTATTGGGTAGGAGGCTAGCCAATAAAAGAAATCCCACAACTCTCTTCTACCTAACACTGATGTTGGATTCTACTGAATTCTGTCCCATAAACATTAATACTGACAGCAGGCTGGGCCCCAGGCAGGGTTCCAAGGATACGTGATGACTAAGAACTTGTCTCTGAACTTAAAAACCTCACCATCTACCAGGGACAAAGTCTCATTCCACAATTACAGAGAAAAGCTCAAATGCGGCTGAGCGCGGTGGTTTATGCCAGTAATCCCAGCAGTTTGGGAGGCCGAGGCAGGCAGATTGCCTGAGGTCAGGAGTTTGAGACCAGTCTGGCCAACATGGTGAAACCTTGTCTCTACTAAAAATACAAAAAAATTAGCCAGGCATGGTGGTGTGCGCCTGTAATCCCAGCTACTCAGGAGGCTGAGGCAGGGGAATTGCTTGAACCAGGGAGGTGGAGGTTGCAGTGACCCTAGACTGTGCCACTGCACTCCAGCCTGGGCGACAGAGTGGGACTCCAACTCAAAAAAAAAAAAAAAAAAAAAAGAAAAAAGCTCAAATGCAAAACCTGGTTAAAGACACAAGCGATGGACTCACATCCACTGAAGTGTAACTGATCAGAAATAAGTGGCTCTTATTTGATCATGGCCTGCCTGCAGGGAACAGGGGCAGTGTCCGTAGACGGGGAAGAGGACAGAACAGAGGTGAGATTTGTTCCTCTTCCCTTAGTGGTGAGGAGTAGGCACTCTGGAGAGGAGGGGAGTCAGCGCCATGAGAAAAAAGACGAGGAGGTGGGCTGGCCAGCCAAGCAGAAGCCTCTAGGCTTTTTAAACAAAGCTGTCCTGCTTAAAATCATCTGTTCCTAGACAGACTGAAGCTGAGGGTGGAGGGAAAGGGACGAAGTAGAGGAATATAGCATTTGGGTCTGTCTGGTTTGAATTCTAGCTCTGCCAATTACTTGCTACTCTCCTGGCCCTGTTCCCTCCCAAGCCTCAGTTTCCTCTCTGTAAAATGTGGATCACAACATCATCTGCCTTTTATAACGTTAATTAAAGATTACAGGAGGTAATAGCTACAAAGATGAGCACAGTACTTAGCACAAGAAAATGCTCAGTAAATATTAATGTCATCATTATACAGCTGACAACACAAGGTCCACTTATATGCAAATTTTTCAATAAACATATAGGAAAATTCCTGGAGATCTCGGACAATCTGAAAAAACTCACAGATGAACTGCCACCCCTGAAACAGGAAGACCAACCCCTTCACTTTCTCTGCTTCTTCAACCTACTCGACATGAAGACAAGGATGAAGACCTTTAAGATGATCCACTTCCCCTTAATGAATAGTAAACAGATTGTCTCCTCCTTACAATTTTCTTAATAGTACTTTTTCTCTAGCTTATCTATTGTAAGAATACAGTATATAATACATACAACATACAAAATATGTGTTAATTGACTAGGTTATCAGTAAGGCTTCCAGTCAACAGTATGCTATTAGTTGTTTTGAGGGAGTTAAAAGTATACTTGAATTTGCAATTATGTAGGGTATCAATGCCCCTAATCCCCATGCTGTTTAAAGGCCAACTGTATTATCGCACAGGTGAGACTGCACACAGCTCAAAAGGCACACTGCCACGGGTCAGTATGACCCCTATCCCCAGTTACAGGGCTTTCTTCAACATAAAGGGGGCTGGAAATTTGCAAATCCATTAATGTGGGTACCACTCTATGTCTTCATCCACCTAAATAACACAAATTTAAACCAATGCCTACGTGGTGACTTTCCTACACTAATAATTATAATACTTGATATTTTTATTCTAAACATAAATAAGAGCTGAGACATGTATTATTTAACAAATACGCTATTTTAATCTTATGATCCCTGAGAATAAAATGATTTGCAAATAGGGCACAATATCACTTCATTCCCTTTAACATTTACAACTCTGTGTTCTTTAAACTTACCTTGCAACTTGTGTCCATTCTTCATACAGATTAAAAGTCATCAAAGGTTCAGGCAATTCCCGTAAATAGGATTTTAAAGCACCTGAAATCATTAACACTCTCTTTGAGTATGAAAAAGGGGTAAGGCTAGGAATCTTGGGACATATTATTTTGCAAATTGAAATGATCTCAATAACGATCTTCCAAGGTGTACATAACAAATCATAAGTTGGCAAGAGTTGTTAGAGACTAAAATGTTCATAAAACAAATTCAATCTCTGAAAAAAAAAAGTTTTAAGAGATCAATTACAAATAAAATTAGTTTTAAAGTCATCCCCTTAACAGACATAATTTCTCCAGGTAGAAAGGAATTTGGTGGGGGGAGACTGTGAAAGATGGGAAGAAAATACAAATATGTCTCCAAATATTTGCATTATAAGCTACTCTCTCTTTTAATCATCAAAATAGAAAAACAGAAAAGGAGTAAAGAAGACACAGTGTACATTACATTGTATATACACTAAGGAATTGTAGCAAGAGCCACTTCGGTTTTGTCACTTAAACCTGTAACTGAAATTGGATTTTAACTGACCATCTGTCTGAGACAGAACCTGCCCACCGCCTTGAGGGTGACTTGATTTGCAGACACTCTTTGGCGCTCACCTGCTACAGCATGGGGGTCTGAATAGAACTCATCCAGGTGAGAAGTAGAACAGTCCAAAGCAGCTTTCAGCTTCTTTAACTTGGAGGCCCCAGCCCCAATTCGGAAAAGGCCCTAAAGATAATGAAAAGCCATCAGCATCAAGTGCAGGTTGGGACACTCAGACTAAGTGGCAGTGTGTTCTGATGGGTATTTCCTGACTTCCGCTCACCTCCTGTCTATGAAAGCAGTGTTACTGCCTGCCCTGCAGGGCTGTCAGGAGGAATGATGAGGGCTGAGCACGCACCCAAGCACAGGGACAGGCAGGAAGAAAATTAATCTGGGCAGAGTTTCTTGACCTCAGCACTATGGACATTTTAGGCTGGATGATTTTTTGTTGGAGGTTGTCCTGTGCCCTGTAGGATGTTTAGCAGAATCCATGGTGATATGGTTTGGTTCTGTGTCCCCACCCAAATCTCATGTGGAAGTATGATCTCCAGTGTTGAAGGCAGGGCCTGGTGGGAGGTGACTGGATCATGGGGGTGGATTTCCCTTTTGCTGTTCTTGTGATAGTGAGTGAGATCTCACATGATCTGGTTGTTTGAAAGTGTGTAGCAACTCCCCCTTTGTGCGCATGCTCGCTCTTTCCCTCCTGTTCCACCACGTGAACACTGCCTGCTTCCCCTTCCGCCATGACTGTAAGTTTCCTGAGGCCTCTCCAGCCACGATTCCTGTACAGCCTGTGGAACTGTGAGTCAGGTAAAGCTCTTTTCGTCATAAATTACCCAGGCTCAGGTAGTTCTTTACAGCAGTGTGAGAATGGACGAATACACATGGCCTCTACTACTAGATGACAGTAACACCTCCTCTTCTCAGTTGTGATGATCCAAAATACCTCCAGACCTTGACAAATGTCTCCTGGGGAGCAAATCTGGCCCCAGACAAGAAGCACCAATGTAGGCTGTTAGAAGGGGAGTGGCTGGAAGCAAACACAAGGAGGGCTTCCGGGATGTTCTTTGATCTGAGCGCCGACTCCATGGGTGGGTTTAGTCATGCAAGCACATCAAGCTGTACACCTATGATATGTATGCTTTTCTGTATGTACGTTCTATTTCAATACAAAGCTTTAAAAAGGAAAAAAAAAAAGCCTTGCATTTTGATTCTAGCTCTGACCTGGAGTAAACTCCCTGCATGCTGACTTCCTTATTTATACAAGAAGAGTAATAAAAACTCCCTTATTTGGTTCATGGGGGGTTTGGGGTAAGAATCCTGTAAAATTAAGTATGTAAATGACCTCCAACCAAAAAAACTGCATAATACTATGCAAATGTAAACTAAAGCTCCTTAGCCCATTAGTGCGTCACGAAATCTATTGTCACAAATCACAACCAGAGTTTTAAATGAAACAATCAAACAGGACACAAAGAGGTCAGGGTGTACCACAATCAGGAAAGGTAAACATTGTTTTGTAAAACCTTTGTTTCATTCATAGACAGATAGGTATCATAGGGAACAGGGTTGCAATTTAAAATATGGATCATGGTGACAAAAGCTTGAAAGCCACTGTTCTACACAAAACGGACAATGGCTGTATAACTAAGCAGGGGTGGACAGGGGGCTGGCGGGGAGCATGGTGCTCTGGGTACAACAAGGGGCATGGAGACTTGGTGCACAGGATCACGAAGCTCCCCTCACCTCCTCCTTCATGCCTGTCTCCAGAAGCAGCATGACACAGGCTTCAATGGGCAGCGCAATCTCGCGCCCGCTCCTCTTCAGGTGTTCTTCTAGGGGAGTCCCAAAGGCTGGTTTTTCCGCCCACTTATCTAGAGCAGCAAATTGTTCAGTTAGACACCCAACAAACTCACGGCATTACCAAGCTATTTTCTCCCCAACTACCCAATGGGCTTTTCTAGCCGACTGGTAGGTGAGGCTGTGCAAGAGGGGATACATCTGTTCTATTTGCTTTTGTTATTTGCCATCTACTGGAGCAGCAAACTATGGACCAGGCTGGGGCGGTTACTTGTGGAACAGAAGCCTGAGCGTACCTAGATGGCACCAACTCAGGCTGCCCAGAAGCTGCAGTGGCACGCTGCACCTGCACCACACTTCATCAACACACGCCAGCGGGTTTAGTGGGCTGCCTTGAACCAAAAGGAAGATTTGCCAGAGCATACCGTTTCGTTGAAAAGAAATTTATTCTAGCCATGCAAAGCCTTCTAGCTAGAGGACAAGAAATAGATTCTTTGCTATGCAAAAATGGAAATGATCTCTGAAAATTTCAAACACAAGTTAAGTATCTGTCATACAAGACTGGAGATGGCCAACGTGAACTCTCCACGTTGCAGTTACTCTCCATCAGATGCGACATCTCCGCGGCATGCAGTGCTTCAGAACACCGCATCCCCAAACAGCTCCGAAAAATTCTGAGTGGAAAGAAATGCAGCATCTGCAGCCCTAAAGCAGCTGAAGGCTATGCTGATGGCAGGAAAGCCATATTTTAGATTATCTTCAGGTTATGAGGCAGCTTAGCACAAATACAATGAAGCAGTAAAATAGAAAGAAGAATTTAGAGAACGGACATATGAATTAGAATAAGAAGTATCTGGTTGAATTTGGCCTGCCTGTGCAAGCTGCAGAGATCTAGTGCTATCTGAGCAGCTCGCAGAAGCAAAGGAGGGCAAACCAGTTGTGAAAACTGCTCCAGGGAGAAACACTTAAATCTTTCCAACAACAGGAAGGGTTCATGTCCTTCTCTGCACCTTTACTGGCCATTGGTCCCTTAGCAGCTCTGCTGTTAGAAAGCTGGGTTGGAAGAAGGCAGTATGTACTCTGGTGTGTCCTCTTACACTCTCTCCCATGTCACAGCAGGGGTAGATTTGCACATGGGGAAGGAAGAAAAATAAAATCCCACAAATCCATAGAACCGAGAGCTTGTGGAAAGGTAAAAATGGATGGAAAGAGCAAGAGGTAAAGACTGAAGAAAGGGGTGAGGGAAAGGAAGGTGGGGGACAAAAATGAGGTGCAGGCCACCAGCCACTCTCAGAATTGTGGGGAGCCCTCCTCGTCTCTGGCCCGGCCCCAGCTGGGGAATTTCCAATAGAAAACGCATCTGGGGGTCTGGACCTTCCCAGAGGTCAAATCTTACCTGAAATACTTTGTCCCTTTTATCTAAAGCAATAAGTTACAACACAGGCTGAAAATGGCCACGTGAGCCTTCCACTAGGGGATGCCCTGGAATCACCCAGGGGGGTTCTGCAAATGACACCCGCCATTGCCTTCACCACAAGCCCAACCCTGTAATGCTAAGGGGCGGGCATGCTTCAAACCTCTGCTGGAACTTTCTAGTAAACACTGGACAGAGTGTACCCCACCCCCAAGCCTGGTATAATGTTGACAGAGGGTGCAAGTGAGAACCACTGACCTAGAAGCAAGTCATAAGGCAAATTCCACCTCAGGCACTGGCCTCTCAAACAACAGACCTACTATGTGTCAGGTACTGCAGGAGGCATGTAAAGTTAACAGAGACTCCCTACCCTCAGGAAGAGGGCAATTGAATTGTGAAGGGAATATAAGACACACATGTAAACACAGAACAGTCAATAACAAGACAAGACATATTTGCTAAGTCATGGCAGATCGATGGTATAGACAAGGGTTGCAAATGCAATTGTCCAGAGGAGTCGGATAGGTAGCACAGGGGCACAAATCCTGCTGGGAGTGCACGATCTGCCGACAGGCGATAACCACTCCTCTGCACCAAACCAACACTGCCACGTGGGAAAGCAAAGCCAGTGTTGCCAGATGTTCTCAACTTTCAGGAGAAGCCAGAAATCAGAATTGTTACATCAAACCATCTGGTTTTCACATGATGACAACCAACTTTTAACAATTTTTAATGAGATATGGCTGTTTGCGACTTCTGGTGTAGACCATAAATGCTGGCACAATTCAAGAGGCAAAGTGTTTGCCATTGGCTTCAGCTGTCGGAGAAGGCTTCTCAAAGGAAATGAGGTTGGAGGGGGTCTCATGAGACGGACAGAGATTAAACAGGCTGAAAAACGGACAAACACATCTTTGTGAGGGGCAATCAGCTGAGAAAAGATCAGGAATTGTGAGTCTGGGAATTTACATCTTATCCCAAGTTCACGCCAAGGCCGTGAGAGCATGGAGCAGAGTGGGCCAGGGGAAGAGAGGATGACAGAGCCTAGGGCGAAATGGACAGAACCCAGGCACTGGATGGAAGAGAGGAAGGAGAAAAGGGTTCCAAGGTTAAGACCTGAATCACTTGGAGAAAGGTGATATAAGGGAGACAAGAAGGGAGAAAAGGGACAGTTGGAGTGGGAAGAGGACTGGTTTGCTTTTTGAGTTTAAGGTGAGTGCTGTTCATCAAAGGGAACCGATGCTTAGGAGGCTGCAAGGATTAAAATGCAGGTAAGAGGCAAAGCTGTCCAAGTAAGGGGATTTCTAGGGAAAAGGGGGCGAGGAAGTGAGGGTGGGAGAGAACAGAGGTGCAAGGACTGGACCTCAGAAAAGGCTGACTTCTGGGGTGGAGACAGAAATGAGCAATATATAATCCTTCTTGAAGAAAAATTTTTAAAAAGAAATGGAGCAATGCAGAGTCCTTACAATGAAAGAAGACAGTCGAGTGGCGTGAGGAGACAAAAATGAATAAGGAAGGGACGGCCCATGCCGGGTCAAATGCCAGGATCTGACGGGTGGTTGCTGGTCCTTTGAAAACTGCAGTATGTTTTGCTCTTTTTTCCTAAACAGCAGAGGGATTGGGGGTAGACACAAGAGTGCAAAGGATTCAGGAGTAGGAAGGTGGTAAGAAAATGCAGGTGGCAGGCAGGAAGGGGTCATCTGAAGTACCCACCAGAAAAAATGAAGGAGAACCAGATTAAACAGGACGCTGTGTTCAGGTCAGGAAGGTACCAGATTACCACCAACTGACCATGAATGTGACACCAGAGTCCACGGAGGTGAGGGGGCTGTGGGGGCAGGTCACACTTTTTTTATATAGTAAGGACAAGATAAGTCTTTCTGAAAACAGAGAAGACAGCAAGGAAAGAAAAGACAGAACTAAGATGAAAGGCAGGTACAAGGACAGGCAGAGGTGGGAGGGGTTGAATTGCAACTCGGTAAAGGGTGACCTCAGCAAGAAGGACAAATCGCACTTCCTCCACGGGCTGTTCCATCCTAACCTCTTTCCTGTCCCATCCCCGCTCTCCATGGCTTCCTGATGTATTTCTCTAGGGAAAATACCCTTGGGAAAAAAACAGAATGAGAGTTCTAGTCTAGCCTGGGCAACAGAGTGAGACTTTGTCTCTTTAAAACAAACAAACAAACAAAATGCGAAAAAAAATCCAATCTCTCGTTTTTCCTCTTGTTAATCAACTCTTTCAAATCAGACTCTCAGCCATTCAAAGGCTAAAATGATGATTTGTCTACTATTTTGTCCTATGCGGGGCCCAGCCCACAGCAGATATCTCATAAATATATTTTCTTGGTCCTCTGAACTTGCCCAGCAAGAGTCTGTCCCTAGAAAGGTGGGAACATTTTCCAGAGACCTCGTTCCTTTGCACTGTGACTCAACACCATCCTCCATGAACTAATAATCTTGATTATTTGGGAAGGCAAGGGCAATGGCTGAGAAAATCAGAAACACTGCCCCTGAGAATGCTGAAGATCTGACTATATGGTCAGGCAAGACATAAAATTTTATAATTCCATAATCCCAAAATTTTCAGGCACAAAGCCAGAACCTGTGAGGATCTCCTGGAACTTAGGGGGAGAAGAAGTCGCATTCTTGAAGGTGCTGGTATGTATGCACATCCACAAAGCATCCCCCCCACAACACACACAGACACATGCTCGGTCTCAAAATCACAAAGTCATCCCACTCAGCACCTGGCCTGATCCCCTTTCAGCTCAAGACCAGTGGTTCTGCAGAGGAGCATAAGCTCCAAATGTCAGGTCTACACCACAGGTGAAATAGATCCAAAGACGGCCGAGCAATTTCTGACTCAACAGCTGTGCTCATCTCTGCTGGTAAATGCTCTAATGGTAAATCAGAGAGACACAGCATCGAAAGCTTTAGGGAGAGAAAAAAAAAAAAGCAGCTTTAGATGCCCAACTTAAAATTCAACATAAGGGGAAAGTTCAGTCTGCACCTAACTTGCAGATACAATCTGCAGTGTGCTTGAATATGATAGGAGAAATATTAATGGTGATAAGAACAAAAGCTTAGTATAAAGACAAAGGAGGAGTCTGAACGAAGCGACCACGGTCTTAGGATTCAATCACACTTATTATTAAGTGTGACGTGCATGATGTGGCATCAAGTACTGGCTTCTCTTTTGGAAAGTCCAAAATATTTTCCCTAGAATGGATGCTCTTGGAGTCACATGGCCAGAATTAAGTCCTGTGGAACAAATAACTGATGTGGAAAAGGATCATTCAATGCTGGACTTTTTCAAGCCTACAGAAGATGGGAAAACACACAGGTACTCCCCAAAGAGGCCAGCTTTCTCTTCAACTGAAGGTTTCAGAAGAACTACAAATGTTCCATTAGTGTGTTAATTTGGGTTTGGAAGAAATTAGAGAATGCAGCAAGGAAGATGAAATTATGCTGGGAAACAGTACCCTCCTAGGCAGAGAAGCTTTATCCCAAGGACGTGCATGCAGAGGAGTCAGGGTGAAGAAGAACCCAGGCAGAGGTGGCAGAGGCAAGAAGGAAGCATCAGCCGCACGCGGGTTACATTACCTTGATGGGCTCGCATTTCGGGGAGGGTCTTTTCTAAGACTGCTAATGCTTTTCTATGGTAATCTGCTTGGGCTTCTAATAACTGAGAACAGACCCACATTCAAAAACAAAAGTAACGTTAGCATCGGATGGACACACACACAATGGCTGAGCAAAACTAAAAATGAAATCTTTTGCAAAAAAGCTAAAATGACTCCATTTTAACAATGCTTTAACATTTTCTCAAGGGAAGGTGCTTACCGTAACAAAGAATTTGCCATACTCCCCTTCTTTGGCCATAAAGTTGTACATGTCTGCTGCAAGTTGATCCTGGGTAAATGGAAGATAAGAGGTTATTGAAGAAAAAAGAAGTGAAACAAAATGGCATCTGAGAACAATCTCTGTGAGCTCTTAGATGAAAAAGTGATGGAAAGCACCACAGATTAAATGTCCATCAACTGCCTGGTACAACCATACAGAAAGAATAAGGAGGCTTCTTACATGACTGACAAAGAAAGATCTCCAAGATATATTTTAACACATCTGTTTAAGAAGCAAAGTACAGAGCATTACTTATGGTGTATTAACATCTGGGTTAAAAAAGGGGTGGAATGGCCGGGCACGATGGCTCATGCCTGTAATCCCAGCACTTTGGGAGGCTGAGATGGGCAGATTACCTGAGGTCAGGAGTTTGAGACCAGCCTGGCCAACATGGTGAAACCCCGTCTCTACTAAAAATACAAAAATTAGCCAGGCGTGGGGGCGGGCAGCTGTAATCCTAGCTACTCGGGAGGCTGAGGCAGGAGAATTGCTTGAGCCTGGGAGGTGGTGGTTGCAGTGAGCTGAGATCGTGTGCCACTGCACTCCAGCCTGGCCGATAGAGTGAGACTCTGTCTAAAAAAAGGCTGGGTGTGGTGGCTCACTTTGGCAGGCCAAGGTGGGCGGATCACAACGTCAGGAGATTGAGACCATCCTGACTAACACAGTGAAACCCTGTCGCTACTAAAAATACAAAAAATTAGCCAGGTATGGTGGCGGGCACCTGTAGTCCCAGCTACTTGGGAGGCTGAGGCAGGAGAATGGTGTGAACCCGGGAGGCAGAGCTTGCAGTGAGCCAAGATTGTGCCACTGCACTCCAGCCTGGCAACAGTGCAAGACTCCGTCTCCAAAGAAAAAAAAAAAGGCAGGGGGTGGGTGGAAGGGTATGTCATATTTTTATTTTGTTTTTATTTATTTTTTTGAGATAGAGTCTCACTCTGTCACCCAAGCTGAAGTGCAGTGGCACAATCTTGGCTCACTGAAACCTCCACCTCCCGGGTTCAAGGAATTCTCCTGTCTCAGCCACCCTAGTAGCTGGGATTACAGGCGTGTGCCACCACACTTTTTGTATTTTTGGTAGAGACAAGGTTTTGCCACGTTGGCCAGGCTGGTCTCAAACTCCTGGCCTCAAGTGATCCACCCACCCCAGCCTCCCAAAGTGCTAGGATTACAGGCGTGAGCCACCACACTCAGCAATGTCATATTGTTATTGTCACATATGTATAAAAATATGTCTTGACAAAAAAACAAGAAATTAGTACAGTTATTACCTATTGGGAGCAATGGAAATTAGGCAGGAGGAGGATAATGGTAGAAGAAAGACTTCACGGTACACTGTTTTACACTTTTTCATATCTGACCTAATGTAAATGAATTACATATATAAAAATTAAATAATTTTGTGAACAGTGACAGGCTGAGTGTGGTGGCTCACACCTACAATCCCAGCACTTTGGGAGGCTGAGGTGGGAGGATTGCTTGGAGCCAGGAATTTGAGAACAGCCTGGACAACAGAGCAAGATCTAGTCTCTAAGTAAAAAAAAAAAAAAATTTTTTTTTTTTTTTTTTTTTTTTTTGAGATGGAGTCTTGCTTGCTCTGTAGCCCAGGCTGGAGTCTGGTGGCGCAATCTTGGCCCACCGCAACCTCCATCTCCGGGGTTCAAGCGATTCTCCTGCCTCAGCCTCCTGAGTAGCTGGGACTACAGGTGCATACCACCATACTCAGCTAATATTTTTCTGTTTTTTAGTAGAGATGGAGTTTCATCATGTTGGTCAGCCTGGTTTTGAACTCCTGACCTCAAGTGATCCTCCCATCTCAGCCTCACAAAGTGCTAGGATTACAGATGTGAGCCACTGCACCTGGCCAAAAAGAAATTTTAAGTGACAGATTAGGCAATTAGGTACGTATTTCCAATCTTCAAATATAAATATACATAGGAATTTTATATATATATATATATATGAAAACTTATATGCCGGAAAATATATATGTAGAGAGAGTTTGTTTTTTTTTTAATGTAATGACTTCTGTTTTTGGCATCAAGGTACACAAATTAATGTGAAGGGCCTCCCATTTATGACAAAAACTTGGAAATGCTAGTTAGAAGTAATGAACATCCTTTTATAATAACTGGGAAAGCAATAAAGTAAATTCCTTGATTCCCCTCAACCCCACCATACACACACACACACAAAGAGAGAAAGAAGAAAAAGAAGCAGAAAGAAAGAAAAAGTCGGAATGCTAAGCATCAATGGAAGCTGGAGATGACCTGGGGCAGATTTGTGCCAGTCTTGGTGACCAAGGTGTCTGAAGCCTTGGGGACTAGTAAGGAGAAACAAGTACACATATATCATGCATAAAGATAAGATTCCTGAAGAACTGTACTCTCAACGAAACAACAGATTAGAACAAATGCACTTAGCATCACATGGAAATCATGGGGAAGTATGTCTGTTTTGGAATGGGCTTTAGGTCTGAGAAACATTGGCCAAGAGATTTCACAAAACATAGGCCTGCTTTCAGGAGGGTTTAAAGTTTAAATTTACTGACATGTGGTCCCAGAAACCCCAAACTGATTTAAGTTTAATTAAAAATGGACCTGGACTGGTAATACTCTCTGGGAAGTCTCATTCCCAATCCCTGATAGTCCCACAGATAAAGCCCCTCTTAAAATGAGTTCAAATAATTACAAAACACATGAGGAAATAATCCACCACAAGCAGACACCTACCACTCTCACAGAGAATTTCAGAAAACAGAATTAACAGAGATTATTAAATAAGTATGTTTAAAATGACTTAAAAGAAAGAAACACTAGAAAAGAATAATGTAGTATCAAAAAGATTTGAATAACTAGAACTTCAGAAATGGAAAATATAGTCAATGAAATTAAAAACTCAGTGTTATTTGAGTAGCAGATCAAACATAGCTAAAGAGAGAATCAGTGAAACAGAACATAGATCTGAGGAAATTACCCACAAGGTATGCATAGAGAGAGAAGGAGGCAGAAAATATTTTCTTAAGTTTTTACCACTTGAAATACTGACAAGTGTGGAAGTTGAGAGAACAGACATCAGCCCATGATGACTTCCTAAACCTCTACCCAAATTTGTGTGCAATAAGTAGGCAATAGCCAGGATCTAGGTTAGACCAGATATTAAGAAGACTGCTGGGTAAATGACACTGACAAAGCTACAACTCTTCAGACCACAAATAAGCCAATGTGACATTATTTTAGTAGAAGCATTTATCTGAATATCATCTTTTAAACATAAAAACTTTTTAAAACAAAGGCATAACTTTGTGAGTTTAGTTTTAATTTCTACCCACTATATTATTTTTATATTTTTCTTATATTTCTACCCACTATATTATTTTAAACAAGTCATTTAATTGCAGTTAACTGATCAAGGTTTGCTATTTTGAAAAGCAAAGTATGTCATGACCTAAATGAACTAAAATATAACAGTCTTAATATTAGCAGGAAATAAAAAAACAATTTTTTTAAAACAATGAAAAATAAGAGCAGGAAAAGTCTAAGTCAATCCAGACTTAAGACTCTAGATTGTCAAGACTCCCCGAAGACCTATTCCTTTACCATTTCAAATAATTTCACCTCAAATAACATTCAGAATGAACATCTATCTACACAGGTGGATGCAGAGAGAATGAGATCACTTGACCATCTAATTAATCTGTAATTTATGAGATAAAAAGCTCTATTTCTCCCAAATTACAAACCAATTGTTCAAGCAACATTTTAAAAGTAATCCTTATCTTCTCCAAGGACATATGAGCCATTTACTGTATATTAAATTTTACATTATAGCATTCATTCCAGAAAACCTATACTATTTCACTGATCTATTTTAATGCTTCTTATACAGTTTTACTTCTTTTTTCTTACTTTTGTATTTCTTATGCATTTTTAATCGCTGTAATTTTATTATATGTTTTGCTATGGTTTTCTTTCCTTTTTTCTGACTTCATCTTTAAATAAGCTTAGACATCTTGTCAAGTTTTTAAAAATATCCTATTTGAAATTTAAAATGTTTTATTCTGATCATAAAATAATATAGTCTTAGAGAAGAAGAAAATAAAACCTACCTTTAAAATCATTCAAAATATTCTGATAGAAATTATTTAAAACATTAAGTAACTTACATTTGAACTTTCATCCCTCATTTGCAAAAACCGAAAAGATACATTTATCAAGGAATTCTCATACCTTGCACTGTTCTACTTTATTTCCAGCTTCATCCATCTCTTCCTTTAGAGTATCTATTTTTGATGGAAGCCCCTGAAAGTTGGTTCCTGAGGATTTGTGAGCTTGGTTCCACCTGCAAAACAAAGGGGTCACCAGCATCTGAGAACCAGCTGTGTATACTCAACAGCTGGAGGCAGGACCTGGTGGAGATAGATCCTTCCCCACAATTGATTCTACCTGGAAGGGGTATCATTGCCCAGGATGCCAAATTCTCTTGAGCTTATTCTCTAAGAATGGAAGCAGGCAAAAGGAGACTTTAGCTTCTCACCATGACAGGACTCTCATAGTGCTAGGAGTAGTGGTCTGCTTTGAGCATAACCAACCACATCTTGTCTCACACAAACTCTACTACTGGAGAGAAATCCATGGAACCCCTTTCTTGTGGTGGCCAACCATGGAATCCCTGCCACCGGAGGAGAGCAAGGTGCTCTCCTTGCTCTCTTGCTTTGAGCTGAAATGTTCCCTGTGCCACTGGGAATCAGCTCCTGCTTTTGAGAACTCCTTGTGGCTCTTTCCACTACCATACTACCATCTGTGACCTGGGATTACTTTCAGAAAGTAAAAGCCAGAACTTCAATAGTGTAGCTATGAGGCTGGGTGCGGTGGCTCACGCCTGTAATCCCAACACTTTGGGAGGCTAAGGTGGGAGGATCACTTGAGCTAGCAGTTTGAGACCAGCCTGGACAACACAACAAGACTCCATGTCTACAAACAACAATAACAATAATAATGTAGGTATCAATCAATAGCTATGAAAGCACTAAAAAGAAAAAAAAAGAAACTATAGTAATAATAGGGGAAAAGTGGGAAATAATCATAGAAAACAATTTGTTTTGATTTTCAAATGTGCTTTGACCTTCTGTTTGAAAATGGGTATGTCTGGTGTTGTGGAAAACTCTATCACTTTAAATGTAAACATAGATGTTATAAAATGCAGCAAGAAAACCCACGTTGGCCGGGTGCGTTGGCTCACGCCTGTAATCCCAGCACTTTGGGAAGCCGAGGTGGGCGGATCATGAGGTCAGGATATCGAGACCATCTTGGCTAACACGGTGAAACCCCATCTCTACTAAAAATACAAAACATTAGCTGGGCGTGGTGGCAGGCGCCTGTAGTCCCAGCAACTTGGGAGGCTGAGGCAGGAGAATGGCGTGAACCTGGGAGGCAGAGCTTGCAGTGAGCCCAGACCAAGATCGCAACGCCGCACTCCAGCCTGGGGACAGAGTGAGACCCTGTCTCAAACAAACAAACAAAAAAACCCAAAAAACATGTTAGCTACTTACTAAACTTTCTAGACTGCTGCAGTGCCCCAAAATGCTATGTTCTGCCCACTTTGTGTTCCTGACGTGACACACTCCTCCACCAAAAGGCTTCAGCAAGTCAGCCAAAGCTAAACTGGAGATGCTATATTGTGAAAGGAGCATAGATTTCAGAGTCTGACATGTTCAAGTTTGGAGCTCAGCTTTATCTTAACTAGTTATGTGACCTAGTTAGTGACTTAGCCTCTATGCATCTCAGTTGCCTCATCTACAAAACTATCACAAACACTGTCTGCCTTGTGGAACTGTCATAAGGAGGAAAAGCGAGAAAAATATGTGTGCATGTGCACAGCATATGATGTCTGGCATATAATGGATTCCTACTTATTACCATTTTTTTCTCCAGGGAAAAGCAAGAAGAATGAGAAAAAGTGGAAATATTCAATTGTTTCAGCTTCTCCAACACCTATTGTGATTAAGTGAACAAGACCATGAATGCAAGATCAAGAATCAGTATTAAAATCACCTATGAGATACATGCACTCAAGATGCAAAACTCCTGTCAGATAAACATCTATAATAATGCTCAACCAACTCTAGTGAGGGAGCATTTGCTGCCTTGTTTAATTAATCATTAGAATATTTTTCCTTCTCTTGAGCAAAGATGTATCGCAGGGTGGCCTGCACTCTCAGCTACACAGGATTCCAATCACACGTACAGGCCAGGTGTGATGACTCACACCTGTAATCCCAACACTGTGGGAGGTCAAGAAGAGACATTTACTTGCGGCCAGGAGTTTGAGACCAGCCTGGGCAACATACCGAGACCAGGTCTCTACTAAAAATAAAAAGCTGGGGCTGGTTGCAGTGGCTCACGCCTGTAATCCTAGCACTTTGGGAGGCTAAGGCAGGGAAATCACCTGAGATCAGGAGTTTGAGACCAGCCTGGCCAATGTGGTGAAACCCCATCTCTACTAAAAATACAAAAATTAGCCAGGTGTGGTGGCACATGCTTGTAATCCCAACTATTAAGGAGGCTGAGACAGGAGTATCGCTTGAACCCAGCACCTTGGTTGCAGTGAGCCAAGATTGTGCCACTGTACTCCAGCCTGGTTGACAGAGAGAGACTCCATCTTAAAAAAAAAAAAAATAGTAGCTGGGTGTGGTGGTGTGCAGCTACTCGAGAGGCTGAGGCAGGAGGATCCCTTGAGCCCAGGAGTTTGAGGTTGCAGTGAGCTATGATCACACCGCTGCACTCCAGCCCAGGTGACAGGGAACATCACATGTACACATGACCAGGAGACTGTGGACTTTGCTGTCAGAATCCTAACACTGCAATGTATGCTCCTGAAGGCACAAAGCAAGTCATATAGATAACAAATGCAGGTCCCTCCCTTATCTGTAAAACAAGTCTCCTCTCAAAAGTAGGGAATGTTACACTAACCTCTACCCTGTTCCCTCCAAGTCACATGGAAAGGCCTATGCATTTAGAGTCTAGCACAAAGTCTGGTGCACACTGAGCACCTAATTGATATCAGTTGAAAACACAGATGAACAAATGAACAGGGATTGCTGGGAGAATCAAATGGGCTGACATAAAATGAAAGTAGCTCGATCTCTGGCATGTGGCAAGAGGTAAGTTACTTGATAATTGCACTAGCAGAGTCTTCACCATGTGTGAATTCCTAAATATACCTTTTCTCATCTCAACATTTCTTAAATCAGGACTCATCTTCACAACTGATTTGTACACATTGTAAATAAAGTTTTATTGGAACACAGCCATGCTCATTCATGTATGCATTGCCTACAGCTGCCTTTATGCTACAACAGCAGAGTTAAGCAGTTACAACAGGGAGCAACTGGGTTGCAGCACCAGAAAGATTTACTATCCAGCCCTTTACAGAAGAGGTTTGTCAACCCTTGTGATAAAGCAGGAAACAGGACTGAGGCTGGTGGTGCCTGTTTCCCTATTCCCAACTGTCACATGCCTGAGAAGAAAGCCATGTAAGTCACTGATAGAAACTCCACTGAGGGCCAGGTACCACGGCTCATGGCTGTAATCCCAGCGCTTTGGGAGGCCAAGGTGGGAGGATCACTTGAGGCCAGAAGTTCAAGACCAGCCTGGGCAACACAGCTAGACACCATCTCCAAGCTGTGGCATGTGCCTGTAGTCCCAGCTACCTGGGATGCCGAGGCAGAAGGATCACTTGAGCCTGGGAGTCTGAGGCTGCAGTAAGCTATGATCGCACCAGCCTGGTACAGCAGAGCAAGACCTTGACTCAAAAAAAAAAAAAAAAAAAGAAAAGGAAAGAAAAAAAAGCCAAAAAACTCCATCAAGGACAAAGCAGAGGCAGCAGTCCTGCTCTGAATCCTGACAGACTCCTTCGCTGGCATCAGTCCCCACATCAGCAGCGCTGATTTGGCTACATAGGTTTACATGAGTTCCTGCCATGTGAGTGCCTCCTTCCTTGGTACTGAAGGTATTACAAGTACACAGGGTTTGTGACATGGCAGGACCCTCATGAGCTGTTAGGGCCACAGATGTGTTTATTCCTACACTCTGAGTTGTGCTCTCAAAACTGCCACCATCCCCTCTTCCGTTAAATATACTCACTTCATTTTCCTTAGATTATTTCCTTTCACTGCTGGCTCACTAAGAACAGGATGTTCTAACAACATCCCCACTGCCACGCTTGGGAGAACAAGGCCTATAGGAGGTGCTGGCAGGCTGGCACCCAGTCTGGGGGTCAAATGCACGAATTGGTGAGCACTTCCATTGTGTCCACTGTCAGTGGTCTTCTCCCCCGTGGTGGGAATGGGACACAATGCTGCATTGCTGGCTCAAGCTGTTACCTGGCTCTGACTGAATCCCAGTCTAACACCAATCTTGCAAGCTGCTTCCTCTGCTTCTGGATGTTGGGAATCTCCACCTAAAAATAAGAACATACCAAATGGGATGCACTTCAGGGCTTTTAGGTTAACCATTTTAAAGTATTTACAAACGTTTTTTCTCTAAGGCAAAGGATTTTGTACCTTCAATTGACTCCCCTTATTTCCAAAAAGAAGTGTATGTTAAAGCCAGCAACTACTGTTAAAATTTTAACACTCACTGTCCAGCCCACACCACTCTCGGCTCTTCCGTGCTGCACGGTGAAGCACCCACCTCAGCTATGCCGTACAGAGGGTCCACGATCTCCTTCTCAACAAAGACTTCGTGCTGGGAGAGCTCGAGAGCCAGCTGATTCTCAGCATCTCCACACGTCTCCAGCATCTTCCTTTAAAAACAAGACCCCCAACAACGAGCACGTGCTCATTAAATCAGGCACTGGATTATCGTGTGGATCAGTGCTGCTTGCCATACAACAGGAACGCATTAGGGTGCTACCTAACGAGCCTTGAAAATATTATAAATGTAGGGTACTGCCTAAAACATGAGTCCACAGATTTGTGCTTTAAAATAAAAATGACTGTCTCAGGGATGCACTTTGTGTGTGTGGGTGGCAGACAGATGTGTGAACAGTGAAATAACAAATTACTCAAGAATTAAATTCTCAAGTCAGGTGAAAGCCAAGTGTTCACAAAATACTCTGAAGATCTTTTAAATTAGACATTAAGTTCATTCCATGTTATCTTATGTCTGCGAGTCCAGCCTTGGCCAGGCTCCCTTTCTGCTATGCAGATGAGCTAGCTGGCTAACACTTAAGGGCCCTGTTACATAAATATCATGTTTCCTTTTAGTTTGCTTGCGAACATGCAGCTGATATCATACAAAGTACACGTGCAGTGATATAACTCCACAGTCTCTATCCCTCCCTCCTCCCTCTCTCCTTTCCTTCCCCTCCACCCCTGCAAGCTCTCTATGGGGTTTTTTTGACACCAGAAATGCACGTTGCCTGGTGTGAGGTGGCCATGGTGTCATAGTCAGGAACATGCTCTCTGGTGCCAAGCTGCCCAAGTCTGAATACAGGCTTTGCTCTTCTCCCACTGTGGGGTCTCAGGCAATTTCCCTGCCCTCTCTGTCAGTATCCTCGTCTGTAAAATGGGAGTGATGTTGTGTGTTAACATGGTTCTAAGTGCTGATATGACCTACCTCCTAGGTTGTTTTAAGGATTAAATGAGCTATTACTTGGAAAACACTTATAACCATGCTAGCACGCAGTATCACTCTGGTGTGATGAGGATGGCCATAGCATGTGGAAGCACAAACAGGAAAAACTTCCAGGCTGGAGGGAAGGAGGATGCTGGCAGGTGGGCACAGGCCACCCTCCTCCCAGGGCCCCCAAACATGGAAGCAGACAGGAGAAAGGAATGGTGACGAATGGGAGGAAACTGTTCTAGGACAGCGAGATAACTGTAGACGCTGAGAAATGGACTGAAAAGTCTGAAGGCCTCGTCCTGCTGGGAAGCAGGGCCCATGTCACAGCCAGAGAGAGCAGACAGGGCTAGAGAACACCAGCCTTGCTGCAGGAGCAGACAGAAGGGTATACCTTCCCTCCTACAATAAAAACTGCTTTGTTCTTACTTATATAAATTATTTAAAGAATACATGACAATTGTAAAAAAAAAAAAAAAATCCAAGTAATTCAGAAAATACACTCTTTTTAGATAACTACCATGGACGTTTTGGTGACCGCCTGTAAACGATGTGACTAAGAACTGAAAGGGTCTGGTCAGAGTTTCTAAATCTGAGCCAACACCTGGAACACAGAAGGGACCACATTCTTTCTGTCCAAGATTAGGGGAATAGGCATTGACCCTATCAGTTGCTTTTTTGTTAATGGCCCTTTCTGCCATCCAACTCCAGCCTGACACCTACTAAAAGGAAGATTCTCCAGCAACCTGGCGGCCTTGACCCCACTTTCTCCCAAGGAGTCTCAGCCGGTCTCCTAGCGGATGAGCCATGCCATCAACGCTCACAGTTCCTCTCACAGGTCCTACATACACCACCTGGCCCAGCCACTTCCACCAATCTACATGGCACTTGGCACTCTGAAGGCAGCAACTCTTACCCCAGGAGAGAGTCTTCCAGCTGAGTCGATGCTTCTTGCATATTTTGAGCAAGAGCTGTCAGAGGCAGTTTTTTCTGGAAGATAGAAGACAGTGTGTGTTTTTCTCATTATTTGATACCCATTCTCAATGATCTTTTTCAGATCATCATTCATTAATTTCTCCCTCCAGGCAAATTACACAGGTAGGAGACAGCCTGTCTGGGTTCAGGTTCTGGTCTCACAGATATTAGTTGTATGATGATCTCTGTTTCAGTTTGGGGCTATCTGTTGACTAAAGAAAACATATCAAGTACCTAACACATTGTAAGTATTCAGTAAATGTTAGCTGCTATTATTATTATTGCTGTTGTTGTTGTTCTGCTTATTATTATTTTTGTTTGTTTTTTTGGGACAGGGTCTGAGTCTGTCACCCAGGCTGCAATGCAGTGGCATGATCTTGACTCACTGCAGTCTCCACCTTCCAGGTTCAAGCAACTCTCCTGCCTTAGCCACTGAAGTAGGTGGGATTACAGGCCTGCATCACCACGTCCAGCTAATTTTTGTATTTTTGGTAGAGATGGGGTATGTTGACCAGGCTAATCTCAAACTCCTGAGTTCAAGTGATCTGCATGCCTCAGCCTCCCAAAGTGTTGGGATTACAGGCATGAACCATCACGCCCAGCCTGTTCATATTATTATTAATGAATCAAAGCACACTATGTTCAAGGCACTGGGGACATGACAGAGACATAGACCTTGCTCTCTAAATGGTTATCCTGACAGGTAAATGCAATGAAGTGCTCAATTTCAAAAGCTTTTGCTAGAACACTCATTCTTAAATTGGCTTTTTTTTTTTTTTTTTGAGGCAGAGTCTTGCTCTATCACCTAGGCTAGAGTGTAGTGGGGCAATCTCGGCTCACTGCAACCGCCGCCTGCCAGGTTCAAGTGATTCTCGTGCCTCAGCCTCCCCTGCTGTGATTATGGGCATGCACCACTTACACCCAGCTAATTTCTGTACTTTTAGCAGAAACAGGGTTTTGCCATGTTGGCCAGGCTTGTCTCAAACTCTTGACCTCAAGTGATCTGCCCTCCTCAGCCTCCCAAAGTTCTGGGATTGCAGGCATGAGCCACCGCACCCAGTCTAAACTGGCTCTTAATTTGGCTATCATTCTAAAATGTAGCTTTATTTAAATACCTAAAAACTTCTAGCTAAAGAGCCAGTTTTTGTAATATTTTTAAATACAAAGCCACTCATTTTCCTATCAGAGATTTGTTTTCCAGCTGGCAATGACCACAGAATCACCTGATCTAATGTTATAATCATACAGTCAAGGAACCCAAAGCCGAAGGAGGTCAAGTGGCCTGGCCAGGCATCCCAGGGAGACGCAGGAAAGTCAGACCTGAGTGCTGATGGCCCGGGCCTCTGTTCAGTGTCTTCCCTACGGGCCAATGGCTTATCTCAGGAGAGGCCTGGCAATTACAAGTGGGCTGGTTATAACGTCATAATCTGCTAACAAAAAAATGCTTTCAATTCTGCAGCATCCCATGTAATTTCACCTGCCCAGCAGAAAGGGCATTCATGTTAAAAACACAGGGTCCACCCCTGACATGTCACTTGCCTCTTCTGCCTCCAAAGGGCTCCATCTGATACAATCACATATGCACTGGCTTGTACTGGACAGAATATCTCTGCAAGGCTATACAACAAACTACTAAGAGCAGGGGCTCTGGAGGAGGGAACTGGGTGCCTGGGGAAATGGGCTAGGAGGCACTTCACTGTAAGTTCTTTTGTATATTCTGAATTTTGACCGTGTAAATGTAGAACCTATTCAAAACAGTAAGCTGAAATTTAAAAATAAACAGAGGCATTTACTCATTTCCCCTCTCCCCAAATTATTGATTTTTAAATTTTTTGTAGAGACAAGGTCTCACTATGTTGCCCAGGCTGGTCTCAAACTCCTAGTCTCAAGCAATCCTCCCACCTCGGCTTCCTACAAAATTATTTTCAAATAAATAAATAATGGGCTCCATCTGCACTACAAGGAGACTATTCCCAGCTGCCCCATTTCTGGACAAGGAAGACATGAGAATAATAGGGGATAATTCCTACCTTTTGGTTATGCTGCCTTTCTAAAGGAGGTTAAATACCTATTAAAGATCAATGCAATAATCAAGACAAATATATTGTGCAACTCTGGAACTCTAGGAGTCTATGGAAAAAAAATAATAGAAAACTCTATTTTGACAAGCATCACTCAAGATGGCAGCTGTAAATAGTTTTGTGGTTTCCCTAACCTGACCCCAAAGCCACAACAATCTTGTTTCCTATGTACATAAATAAGGAAACTCTGCTTAACATATGGGCTCATTAATCAAGTATCAACACTGAACTCCTCCACAGGGAGGGCTTCGTGCTTCCTAGAGGTGAACAGCTTTCTATCATCAGGGATAATTTTTTTTTTTTTTTAAGACAGGGTCTGGCTCTGTTGCCCAGGCTGGAGGTCAGTGACGCGATCTCAGCTCACTGCAACCCACTTCCGGGGTTTTGCCATGTTGCACAGGCTGGTATCGACTCCTGAGCTCAAGCAATCCACCCACCTTGGCCTCCCAAAGTGCTGAGATTACAGGAGTGCAGCACCATGCCTGGCCAGGGATGAATTTTAAATGCTCTAAAGACTTAATTTGTAAAATGCATGCCAATCGCACAAAAAGAAATAATTCTCTAATCTAATAATCTATCTTATCTGACCCACGACAGTTCTGCCATGTCAATGGTGGCTGGGCTGCAAAGGTCACCTGCCTCATGTCTCTCTCTTCCCTTCTATTCTTGCCTCTTCCCATGCAGGAAGCATGTTATGAGGCCTTTGGGAGGTTCCTCCTGTGTTTTCTAGAGCCCTGGAGACTGCTGCAATTTTCTCCATATTAGTCTTCTCTCACCATTGTTGTGGTAACTCCTCTTCCCAAGTGCAAAGTGTAGGCATCCTCAAAGCCCTGTCTTTGGCACTTTCGTTTGACGTTGGAAAAGGAAAGCTAAAGCATTAGGTTTCAGAAATGAGGGCCAAGCACTTTGCCCCAGCTGCCTGGAATATTCCCACCACCTGCCACTAATTTCCCTCCTTTATAGGGCAGACACCACCTCCTCCAGGAAGCCTCACCTAACTACCTCCCTCTTCCTCTGGTACCCATTCTGGGCCCCCCATAAAACCCTGTGCATGTTTTATTGAGCATCTTGTTTTATAATGATCCATTTGTATGTATCTCCCCCATGAGACCATGAAAACTTACATTTCATTCATTTTATATCTCCAGCACTTGTACACAGTAGGTGTTTGATAAATATTTGTTTCTATTGAATATATGTCTTGGACTGCGTCTCAAGGAAGACAACAGGAACTAGATAGAACTGTGAGGGACAGTGACATATTTGGGGACTGGTGAGTGTTATGTGGCTGGCACAGGGTGTGAACGGGAAGCAGCAGGAGACAATGAAGCTGATAAGGAGAAATGGAATCAGCTGAGAAAGGGCTTAAGTCATCTAAAGAGTGTGGACTTTATCCCAGGCAATGGGAACCAGCCAGTGTCCCTCAGAAGAAGCACTTCTAACATTAAGATACTTCCTGTGTGGAACTATTTCACCAGGCACTACAAAACATTTAGCATCTTGGCCAGGCACGGAGGCTCACGCCTATAACCCCAGCACTTCGGGAGGCCGAGGAGGGAGGATCACTTGAGGTCAGGAGTTGGAAACCAGCCTGGTCAACATGGTGAAATCCTGTCTCTACTAAAAATACAAAAATTAGCCAGGCTTGGTGGCGTGCACCTGTAGTCCCAGCTACTCGGGAGGCTGAGGTGGGAGAATCGTTTGAACCGGGTGGTGGAGGATGCAGTGAGCCGGGATCAACCACTGCGCTCCAGCCTGGGCGACACAGCAAGATTCCATCTCAAAAAACAAACAAACAAACAAAAAATGCTTAGCATCTCGGTTCACCCTCCAAATGCCAGTGGTGCCTGCCAGTCCCTGTGATGACCGAACTGTCTCTACACATTTCCATATGCCCCCAGGGGTGTAATTCTGGTCCCTGTTAAGAACCACTGAGCCAAGATTTTTTTTTTTAGGCAGGAGGATAATAGGGTTGATTTGTGTTTCAGGAAATTGACTCTGGTGATCAGGTTGAAGACAGACTGGAAAGGAAATTACAGACAGGAAATGTAGCTCAGGAGGTGACTACAACAGTCCAGGTGAGAGGGAGTCAGGTCTTGCATTAAGGCCAAGGTGGTAGAGATGCAATGGAGATGAGCAATTTAAAATATTCACAGAGAGAAATCAAAGGACTTTCTAATTAGGCAGTTATGGGGTTTGGAGGATAAAATAAAAGCGAGGCCCAGCACAGTAGCTCATGCCTGTAATCCCAACACTTTGAGAGGCCAAGGCGGGAGAACTGCTTGAGCCCAGGAGTTCAAGACCAGCCTGGGCAACAGATGAGACCTCATCTCTACTACGAAAAAAACAAACAAACAATTAGCCAGGCTTGGTGGCGCAAGCCTGTAGTCCCAGCTACTTAAAGGTTGAGGTCGAAGGATGGCTTGAGCCCAGGAGGTTAATGTTGCAATGGGCCGGGATCGTGCCACTACACTCCAGCACGGACAACAGAGTGAGACCCTGTCTTGAAAATAAAAAATAACAAGGAATATAAGAAAGCCCCCCAGTTTCCAGCCTGCATAAAAGGGTGGATGGAATTCAGAGAGTCAACACAGAAGGAAGAACTGATCATGCATGCTAGAATAGACATCTAAGAGAGGAAGTTTTTTGCTTGGTTGAAAATGGCTTAGAAGTCACTGGCATAAACACATCAGTTAGAAGCCATAAGAACAGAGGAGGTGGCCCAGAGAATATGACTTGGAGAATAAGAGAAGCAGAGAACTTAATGAAACAATGTGAAAAGGGTAAGCAGAGCAGAAGAAGGCAACAGAAGGACAAGGAGCTCCAGGAAGCAGAACCAGTAGGCTGGGTCTGGTTCCGAGGGACAGAGCTTTGAGGCAAGTGTGGAAGCATAGGTGTATGCAAACTTCCATTCCTATGACAGACATGATTGCAGAATCCTCACTGTTGTGCAAGAGTGGAAAAACCCTGCTGCCAGGGTGCCCCATAAAAGTCTGTAGGAAACATAAAAGGGTAACACAGATCATCTGCATACTATTAATAGTTCTCACTTTTGAGACACCTGGTGACAATACACCAAATCATAGCTTCCCTGTGTGTCACCGAAACTGTCACTTCAATGTTGCATGGGGTCTAAGGTTTACCGCATGCTCATAAGCTGGGGACTTGTAAAAGCAAGGATGGAACTCCCTCATGAACAAAGGCTGCTGTGCTCCACTGGCTCTACCTAGGAACTGAACGCTCTGAACAAGTGGACCTTGGAAAAGACACCGGATGGCTCTCCTAGAGTCCATCCCTCTTCCTCTCTATACTAGTATCCTGATTTTTCTCAGGGATCTACCCTGGCCTTGATAAAGTCTATGAGCTAGGAGTAGGACCACAGCCCATGCTCTAGGTCTGGGCCAAACTAACTTAAACCAATCGGCACATCCCATCTCCTCACCCCACCTCACCCCCTATCCATGGTAACTAGGGTGGAACAGAAACAGTCAAAAACGGGGAATGTAACTCCACACAAATCAATGCAATGGAACGCGCTTTCAATCTGCCAAGAGCTTGGAAAAAGCAGCTTTCTCACTCCATCAAGAAAAACTACTGGGGCCAAGTATGGTGGCTCATGCCTGTAATTCCAGCACTTTGGAAGGCCCAGGTGGGAGGACTGCTTGAGGCCAGGAGTTCTACATCAGCCTAGGTAACAAAGCAAGATCCCCATCTCTACAAAAAAATTTAAAAAATTAGCCAGGCATGGTGGTGTGTACTGTGGTCTCAGCTGCTTGGGAGACTGAAGCAGGAGGATCTCTTGAGCCCAGGAGTTTGAGGCTGCAGTGAGCTGTGACTGTACTACCACACTACAGCCTGGGTCATGGAGTGAGACCCTGTCAGGAAAGAAAAGAAAAGAAAGAGAAGAGAAGGGAAAGGAAAGGGGAAAGGGGAAAGGGAAGGGAAGCAAAAAGAAAAGAAAAAAGAAAAAGAGGCGAGAGGGGAGGGGAGGGGAACTACTGGGAGAGAGGCTCTCTACTCCCACTGGCCACACTCAAGGAACAAGCAGCCCATAGAAGCTGCCAATAGCCAACTTGCCATCATGAGGATGCCTGTCTAGGGACAAAGCAGACACTGAGGGCACAGGAGAGAGAAGGAAAGAAACTGGGTTTTTCATTACATTACTAAAATGTTAGATAAACCCTGACCTCAAGTCCATCCCAACCTCTGGACTTTTCAGTTAGCAAACCAATACATTACTTCTACTTCAATGTCAATTTAAGACAGGCTTTCCGCTTTCTGCCAGCAAAAGATGCATAACCGACACAGCCATTCTCTTATCAATGACACATGATCGTGGAGCTTTTAAAAGCACCTGGAGAAGATTCCGTGTAAGGAGGGCTTCCAGCCCAGCGATGTCTTAAACACAAAAGAATGCTATGGTCACGCAGGTGTCATGAGCGTGCTTGGTGATAGAAGTCACCAAAGGCTGATCCACTGATGCCACTTAGGACAACCAACCAATCCAGGGGTTGAAAAGCCTCAGAGAGACGCAGGAACTGTGGGTCTGAGTCACATCTGATACTCACGTGTCTCCTCTCGGCATCGGTGCCATGCTGGCCCTGGAAACATGCCACCAAGCGCTTATGGGAATGGTGGCATATTGACCGCACCGTGTCCAGGCGTCTCTCAATCTGACAAGGCAGAGACAAAAGAGAACAAATTCATCCTCTTTCTTTTGTGGTGTCTGCATGCTGGTAGGAAAAGCATGGCTGAATCTACATGCAGGGAAAAGGGATGATCTTGGCTACACCTTGCTATCACACTGAGTGGCGCCAGTCAGTTTACACACTACAGCACCAGAAAAGCACCAGGTTGGACCAGGCAGAAATGAAAATGAATGATCCGGGCCCAGACCCACTGCCAACTGGAAAAAACCAGAGATGCCAAAGAGCTCTCTCCAGTTCATGGCAACTGAGCCTTCCACACAATGTACATCAGACAGAAGCAGCAAAATAAACGTTCCACAATTTAACTGCAAGATCTGTGTTTTCAAAATTATTCCTTATTGGGTTTGGGGTGTGTGTGTGTGTGTTTTAAATAAACCTCTAAAGCAGAATGGACAGTCAGCAATAAGAAACACTGACTTAGGGGACCCACGCATCATAAGCAGCTTCCCAAAATACTATTGCTAGAATATGGCTGTTTATGGCAAAGAGAGCCGCTTTTTACAGGAAGGAATGCCAAAAATGTGTATTCTGATGACTCATGAAGAATGAGAGCAGGCCCTTTGGGATGCTTTCTATTTTAAAGATAAATCAACAAATTCAAAACAGAATACATTTGACCCCAAACCATTTTACGCATCGAGATGGTCTGTGCCTCTTTCTCAAAAGGGCAGCGTTTCTTCAGATCCAAGCCCATAGCCCCAGGACTCAGGGCTGGCAGGCAATGGGAGATTTAGGAGCAGATTCCACATTACCTTCCCCAAATCTTGCAATGACCAGATTTTCAAACATTAGAAAACTAATCCACATTCATTTGCCACCAGAGAAAAGCAAAAAATGAACAAATTCCATGATTTAATTTTGATTCCAATTTCCACTAGAATGTAAACTCCACAAGGACAGAAGCCTGGATCTGTTTTGTTCACTGATTTCTCCCAGTGCCTGGGACGTTATCTTTCACAGAAACAGAAGGTGCTCATTTAATATTCGTTGAGAGGGCCCATGTCTACTGAGTTCCTGTGCAAGGTATTCAAGAATCAACAGCAAATAAATGCTGGTTCTGCCCCGCTGGGATGCACAGCCCCCTGGGGAAATGCCACACAACTGCTCTAACAGAGACTGAAAAAAAGGCAGAAGAACACAGGGCAAATCAAGGGATGTTTCACGTCAGAAACAGACAGTCTCTGTGGCTTGCAGTGGCAGTAATAATAATAGATCACTAATATCTAGCACTTACCACGTGCCAGGCTCCGTTCCCAGTGCTGTTCCTGCTTAACTCATTAAACCCTCCTAACAACCTGTGAGGTGGATAAGGCCTTTCCCTCAGTTTAGAGAAGTGGAAACTGAGGCGCAGGGAAGTTCAGTAAATCCCTGAGGCCACAAAGCTAACCAGCGCAGACGTGAGATTCGAACCCAGGTAGCTGGGTTTCAGATCCCCTTTTCATCATCATGCAACAAAACTGTTTTCTTTCCTGCTCAAAATCACACTAATTAATTTTATTCTGTTTCTGGTTAAAAAAAAAAAAAAAAAAAGCCCACAGGCCTCAATTCTCACATAGGAATTTTTTTCCATCCTTTAAACAGATCATTTAAAGGAGACTATATTTTGTTACCTGTAATAGATCTTCACTAAGGACTTCTGTTTTCTCAGCTCTGTGGGAAAAATTAAAAATTCAGAGTTAGAAATCCAAAAATGAAAGGCAACTCCTAAAATTTAATAATTATTAGCCTGGAGTTTAAAGCAAAACAGGCAGAAATAAATTTAGAAGGGTTGGCAGGGGCAGTTTACCAATTTTTACATCAGAGAGCAATTTAAGCAAAACCAAAGAAAAATAACTAAGCAAAACTTTGTGGGGAATAGCAGCCCAAAACAAGAACAAATGATCCTGAGTAGTGGTTCTCAAATTTGAGCAGGCACAGAATCACCAAGGGCAGCAGGTGCTGATATAAAATGCCATTTCCCAGGTCCCTCTGGATATTCTATTCTAATTCAATAGACCCTGCATTTTTAACAGCCACTCCTTGCTCAGAATTCCATTGCAGGAGGTCTAGAGACATGGCTTTGAGAAAACACTGTTCTACAGAAGCTTAAACTTCAGTTCACAACCAGAAACGTTATGCAAAGATGCAAGCCTAGACCACCACACACAATAACAATTAGTTCCTCCTTCAAATTTCCTCTCCATCCTTACTTTGAAAAGAAACTAAGTGTTTCCACAACTTTCTCTGCTATGCTTTGAACTACTACTAATTTCATCAACCCTTCCATTAAACCAACACGGTGGCCAGCAATCAGAAGGGGGCATTCCGAGCTGGCGGAGTCTCAACTGTCAGACCATAATAATTTTTATTTTATTATTATTATTATTATTATTTGAGACAGAGTCTCATTCTGTTGCCCAGACTGGACTGCAGTGGTGTGATCTCAGCTCACTGCAACCTCCACCTCCCGGATTCAAGCGATTCTCGTGCCTTAGCCTCCCGAGTAGCTGGAATTATAGGCACGTGCCACTTCGCCCAGCTAATTTTTGTATTTTTAGAAGAGACAGGGTTTTGCCATGTTGGCCAGGCTGGTCCCGAACTCCTGACCTCAAGTAATCCGCCCACCTTGGCCTCCCAAAGTGCTGGGATTACATGCGTGAGCCACCGCGCCTGGCGTGAAGGAAATTTTTAAAAGAGAAAGAAAAAGTATGTTTCAGCTCTGAACAGTGAAGGGAGTCAGGGGAAGGCTGTCAATGAACCGGAAATTCAGAACAGGGATTGTATGATCTTGGCCGGGAACCAATGCAAGAGCAGGAAAAGCTCTTGGGCCAGAAAGTAAATGAGACCCCTAGAATGACCTCGAAATGCTGCTAAGCTCAGAGTAGTGCCAACTGTGGGCAAGGGAAAGAAGCGCACAGCTCCTCCAGTCTACACTTAAGGCAATGGCACGTTAGCCAGAACAGGGCATTGCCATGGGGGATTCTAACACTTGTCATCATGGCACTGTCCCAGTCAACCTGGAGATGCCTACAGGGTGGCTCACTCACCAGTTTCTGCAGGAAACTGGAATGCTGACCTGACTCAAATACTTCCCAGGGCCAGAGGATCAGGGCCTAGAGACAAAGCCAAGGCCCCAGCTTCCAGAGGCAGCCAATTTTCAACTCTATGAAAAGGTTCCACCAGCAACAGGCCAACATATGCTACCCTAGACCTTGCTTGGCAAGCAAGGTGCCAGGCATTGCTGAAGAGCCAAACACAGGTAGTCATACCAGTTAGGGAAGGGAAGCAGGGCCCCAGCTGACCATGAGGTCAAAGAACCAGACTCAAAAAGAAACCTGACAGTCAGCCTAGCAAGAACACACCTGGCATGAGATCGTCATAGTTTCACCATTAGACGCCCCCATTCCTCTCGCCAATGCCTCATCCCTCCTTTAGCAAAATGCCACCAGGGAATGGGTAACTTTTGCCTTTCTTCCCTAGCCAAAACCCCCAAATCTGGACAGGGCCCTGTATACCTCTCACAGAATCCACCTCAACTCTAAAATGACTTCCTTCTGTAAGTACGAGTATACACAGAGAAGTCTCAAGGCCTATTAAAATTTTCACAAGTTCAAAAAAAGAGATTCAACCTGAGAATCAGAACAAATATGTCCTTTTTCAGAGCAAATTATTTTTTAAAAAATAACAGAAGAAGAGAAGAACTTGCTCTACAATCCCAATGTGGGCTATAAGCAGATGTGGGAAAGTTAGTAATAGCTCAGAGGTATGCTAGAGCCAACTCAGACCAACCAACCATGTGCATCTTCTCCCAACTCCTTGCTCAGTAACCTCACACTGGTACTTGAAATCAAAAACATAAACAACTGCAAACAATTCAAATAGGAGCTTGGCAGTTGTTAAACAGTTATGAGCACAGTGCTGCAACAGCCACAAAGAAAATAAAGCAAACATAAAAACGAGGCAAGTATTAACTTCAGGAAAAACAAAAAGTCCACTGGAAACATAAAGATAGTCATAGTAACTAGTATGCTCAGCTGCAAATAATTGATTGGACATAATATAAATATCAAATAGTAATACAATGAAAAATTATAACTGTATTGAAAGGATGGGGGGAGCAGAAGCAGAGGGAAAGGGCCCTAAACCCTCATTTATCAGAACAGAAAGTCAACAGACAGTAACTAATTTGATAACCCAAACGATAGTTTACACATATTACTTATAATTATGAATATGAATAAATGTCACAATAAACTGTTAATATTTCAAAGTAGTTGCTTCTGGAGTTGGGAAATCTCAGAGAGTAGGGAGTGAACCCACCGTATTTTGTGGTAAGTCTTTTACTATATTATTTGACTTTTTAAACTACATGAATCACAGTTTTGAGGTTTTTTAAAAATAGCATGTTACTTACACTTTTAAGTAGCATGCTTGATTGATATGGCCAGGGGTGAAGTGTGCCTAACTTAAAGAATTGGTCCAATGTCAAGCTCTACAAATGCACAACAGAAAACATACCTCAGAGTATCTAAAATGTAAAGAAAATCAGTGTATTTCCAGCCATTTTTTTCAAATTAACTGGACCCTCTGCTTTAGAGGTACTTTACATGAAAAGGTCTGGAGGCTGAAAA
Organism: Homo sapiens; assembly: GCF_000001405.40. Lineage (NCBI taxonomy): Eukaryota > Metazoa > Chordata > Mammalia > Primates > Hominidae > Homo > Homo sapiens. The sequence continues at coordinate 235,449 of NW_021160019.1, forward strand.
CTATATTGAATATATTATATGAAAATGTTAATGTACTGTTTAAAAAGAAATTTCCCCTTTGTTTCCTGTGTTTGTGGAGGCTATATATATATTACATTAATAAAATCAATTTTAGATTTGCAGGCTTAGATTTTTTTTTTTTAAATCAATTTTAGAGGTTGGGGGTGGTGGCTCACGCCTATAATCCCAGCACTTTGGGAAGCCAAGGTGGGTGGATCACTTGAGGTCAGAAGTTCAAGACCAGCCTGGTCAACATGGCAAAACCTCATCTCTACTAAAAATACAAAAATTAGCCAGATGTGGTGCCACACACCTGTAGTCCCAGCTACCTGGGAGGTTGAGGCACGAGAATTGCTTGAACCTGGGAGGCGGAGGTTGCAGTGAGCCAAGATCGTGCCACTGCACTCCAGACTAGGCAACAGAGCAAGACTCTGTCTCAAAAAAACAAAAAAAAAATGTGTAGAAAAAAATCCAAACCCAACTAGAGATTAAAAGTGATCTATAATTGGGAAGAATTACTTTTAAGTGACAAATCATGACTATGGAGTATAATACACAAACTGGAATGGCTCCCTCACACAAAGATTCTTTGCTGGCCTGTGGACTCTCCATCTTAATTTTCAGGCCTTGGTACTGTCTCCATCTATTCCAATAATGTGGTCCAAATGACCTGATCTCCCTCATCACTGTGACTGGTCCAAGCCTTGGTGCTTCCTATCGTGAACTGTTTTGCAGTGTTCACCTTTACCAGAGATATGGAAAGTCCAGCAATTATTCCACTATCGGCCAAGGTGCCCATTCAATAGGCCATTCAATAGGCCATGTACGTAGGCCACAGAAATGTGCTGGTTTTTTCTGAGAAGTGTTATCTTTGGTTGAGTTTTTGTAATTTATTAAAGCAAGGCAGGGGGCAAGAGACTGAATTCGTCAAGACATCTATAGACAAAAAAAAAACAGTAGACAAAGTGATCCAATCATAAAAAATAATACTTGATAAATCATATATATATATATATATATATATATATATATTTTTTTTTTTTTTTTTTTTTTTTTTGAGACAGGGTCTCGTTCTGTCACCCAGGCTGGAGTGCAGTGCCACAATCTCAGATCACTGCAATCTCTGCTTCTTGGGCTCTAGTGATACTCCCACCTCAGCCTACCAGGTAGCTGAGACTACAGGCATACACCACCACGCTCAGCTAATTTTTCTATTTTTAGTAGAGACAGGGTTTCACCATGTTGGCCAGGCTGGTCTCAAATTCCTGAGCTCAAGCGATCTGGCTGCCTTGGTCTCCCAGAGTGCTGGGATTATAGGCATGAGCCACCGTACGCGGCCAGATTTTTTTTTTTTTAAGACAAGGTTTTGCTCTACCTCCCATGCTGAGTGCAGTGGCCTGATCACAGCTCACAGCAGCCTTGAACTCCTAGGTTCAAGCTATCCTCCCACCTCAGCCTTCCAAGTAGCTGGGACGAGAGATGCGCACCATCATGCCCAGGTAATTTTTAAAATTTTTTTTATAGAGATGGATTCTCACTACATTGCCCAGGCTGGTCTCAAACTCCTGAGCTCAAGCCATCCTCCCGCCTCCAACTCCCAAAGTGCTAGGCGTGAGCCACTGCGCCCAGCCTAGATTGTTTTGAATCAGACATTTTGCTCCATGTTCCTAAACTTTTTGTATATGGGTTTTTTCTGCTTTGTCAGAGCCTTCTTTGTGTCCAACGTTCTGGGCTTGAAAACACACTTGAATGTTTCCTGTCTGCAACTGGAAAAACAATACGAATCAGGAAGGAACTTCCCACTCGCCATTTTACTCTGGGGTTTGTTTTTTCCTATGAAGCTATTCTGCAATTTTACTAGTCACTCAAGCAAGGCTGATACCAGGCAGGATCTTTAATTTACTTTTTGGTAAAGCACAGATTTTCTCCTCGTAATTCTCAAAGCAGCAGTGCTGCCCAGGCCTTCATAGTGCCACTTTCCCTTGACCTGGTGTGGCAATGTCCAACCCTGCAGTGTGGCTAATAGGATGTTTCACTGAGCTCACTTGCCAGGCAAGGAGAAAACAGAAATGTTTTCAATCTGGAGTAGTTCACTGTACCAAAAAGACAGAAGATGCTCAGACCAGGTGAGAGTCAAAGGAAAATTTCCAATTGGTCTGATATTTTCCATCTCTAATCATGGATTTCTGGTAGTTTCCTTCATAAAACATGTACTATGGGAGCCAGGGACTCCCAAACCATGGACACGAATGCTCAAGTCCCCGCGATCAATGCAGGCTGTGGTCTTCCAAACAATGAGCACTACCGTCCTCCTCCCTGCTAGACAGCAGGTTCCATGAGGGCAGAGAGAGAGCTCTAAAGTCATCACTCCTCCCCAGCGGCAAGCTCAGCACCTTCCTGCCACTTAAATACATACTGAGGCCGGGCGCAGTGGCTCACGCCTGTAATCCCAGCAGTTTGGGAAGCCAAGGCAGGCGGATCACGAGGTCAGGAGATCGAGACCACGGTGAAACCCCGTCTCTACTAAAAATACAAAAAAAAAATTAGCCAGGCAGTGGCAGGCACCTGTAGTCCCAGCTACTCGGGAGGCTGAGGCAGGAGAATGGTGTGATCCCGGGAGGCGGAGTTTGCAGTGAGCTGAGATTGAAATTGCGCCACTGCACTCCAGCCTGGGCGACAGAGCAAGACTCCGTCTCAAAAAAAAAAAAGAAATACACACTGAATGAATGAATGGATGTCTATCACATCTTTGGGAAAAAGGACATTCACAATGTCAAACAAAATCCAATAAAACTAGGTTGAAAAGCAGCCATAGGTGTATAGAACTGCCTTCCACAGTAAAATCCATAATGACTAAAATTGAAATGTGATATTACCTTTCAAGGTTAATCTTTTTATAAAATGGGAAAAAAAACCACAGTTGAAAATAAAAAAAAAATGTCTGTAGGGGGAGGCAAAATCCAGTTTTAAAAATTTTATGTTAAAAGAGGAGTGAAAGCCATTCCTCCAATCCCATATCCCAAAGGGTACTGTTACGAATTTGTTATATATCCTTCCCAATTTGTTTTCTAAATTTAAACTAGTGCTTCTCAACTGGAGGCAACTGTGTCCCCAGAGGACATTTGGCAATGTCTGGGGACATTTGTGGTTGTCATGATGGGAGATGCTACTGGTCTCTGTAGGCTAGAGGCCAGGATGCTACTGACTATCCTAAATGCAACCCCACACACACACACACACACTAAATAATATAAAGAATTATGAACAAGGAATGATCCAGCCCTGGATTTGTTTCCTATTGCTGCTGTAACAAATCACCACAAACTCAGTGGCTTGAACAACACAAGTATATTATATCACACTTCTTGAGTTCAGCACTTCCAACCAGGTCTCCCTGGACTACGATCAAGGTGGCAGCAGGGCTGAATGCCTTCCTGGACATGCAAGGGGAGCATCTGCTTCCTCGCCCTTTCCAGCTTCTTGAGTCTACCGCATTCCTTGGCCTCCTCCTGCACTGTCAAAGCCAGTATGGTTCACTCTGGGCCTCTCTGCCACAGTCACCTCTTCCTCTGACTCTGCGACCTCCCTCTTCCACTGCTAAGGACCTCTGTGATTACACTGGGCCCACCTGGCTAGTCCAGGCTAATCTCCCTTTCCACTGATTAGAAATTTTAATCCCATCTCCAAACTTAGTCCCCCTCTGCCATGTAATCTAAGACATTCAGAGATTCTGGAGATGGGGATCTGGACATGTTTCGGGAGGGCAGAGCATTATTCTGCCTACTTCAGGTCCAAATGTCAACAGTGCCAAGGCTGAGAAGTGCTGATTTCAAAGGACACACATACACACACATACGTACACACACATACATGCACACCCATACACACACACACAGATGCACACAGGTAGATAGAGACACGAGGGGCATTTTTACACGTCAGAATACAGATGTACAACTCCACCACCTCCCTTTTTATGCCTGTACATTAACCTATTCTGTGGATATACCATGTTCTACTTAACTGCACGAAAGCAAGGCAGCACCACCAAACCCTCCAGCCTCATATTCAATCTAATTGAACTGTGGACTGAAGACAGTTGAAGACCGTCAAACCTCCACATCACAAACGGTTCCTCCAAGGCTGTAGGGATCTACTTGAGCCTTCATAATAGCCAACAGTAGCAGCCATATTTGCTGGGTGCTTTCTATGCCCCAGACACTGGGCTGGCACTTACATCTACTCTAATTCTCACATCAACCCTATTGGGTAGGAACCACTATTTCCCCCATTTTACCTATAAGGAAAGTGAGGTCTTGAAAGGTAACTTGCCTAGGACCCCAGCACTAATAAGTGGGATTGTGGGATTCAAACCCAGAGGGCCTGACTAGCAAGGCCTACACTTAGTTTATCTAAACCAGGGGTCAGCAAACTATACCCGCAGGCTCAATCTAGCTCACCGCCCATTTTTTATGTTCAGAAAGCTCAGAAGAATGGTTATTTTAAAATGATTGGAAAAAAACAAAATAATAATATTTGGTAACACATGAAAATTTTATGAAATTCACATTTCAGTGTATTACAGAAGTTTCACTGGAACACAGCCAGGCTCATGCATTTGTGTGCTATCTATGGCTGCTTTTGAGCTTCAACAGCAGAACTGAGTTGTTGCGAAAGACATCACCGTATGACCTGCAGAGCTCAAAATATTTGTTATCCAGCCATTTACAGAAAATGCTGGCCAACCCCAGGTCTCTATTAGTAACTCTTGCAGGATGTGGTGCAAACCTTGATAGCTAACTTTTTAGAATCACTTTGAGGATGGGTGAGGCTGGGCTGGAGGTGTATTTTCTCTTCCTCGACATTCTGCCTCATAGGCAAGCAGCAGCTGCCAAAATGAACAGGGGTGGCTGCCTCTGATAATTCAGTCCAAATGCGGAGGCACAGCCCAGTGCTGGTGACACTGGTGACAGGAAGAAATCAGAAGTTATGTCCCTCCTGCACCTACGCACCTCCATCCACTCACCTCCTCAAAAACACTGAAGTATTTTAATCACTGTTTGCTTTCTGGTCTCTACTGATAAACATATTTCGGGACAAGACCTAAATAAACACAGTTCTCTACCCAAGAGTTCAGCAACAATAAACATTTCAGGCTTGCAGACCATACTGTCTCTATGTAATGACTCAGCTTGCCACTGCAGCACAAAAGCTGCCACAGACATTGTATAAATGAACGGACCTGGCTGTGCCCCAATAAACCTTTATTTATGGACACTGAAATGTGAATTTTGCCTAATTATCGTACGTCATGAACTACTGTTCCTCTTTTAATGTTTTCAAGTATTTAAAAATGCCAAAACCATTCTGAGCCTGCAGCAGCCGCATTTAGCCCACAGACCAGAGTTTGCTGACCCCTGATCTATGTACAAGTGAAGTCCATTTTCCCATGAAACTTCAATCCTTTTTAATCACTTCCCAAATCCAAATTCTTCTTACTCAGAAGGGGGATTTCTACGTTTTCCCAACTTGCATTTCAGAGGTTGAGAGACGCTGGCTTTTCAAGACTTTTGCCAAATTGCTCCTTTTCAATCCTTTCAGCCATTCTGGGGCCTTGAGAGCAGGGGCTCATCTTTCTACCACCAAGAGCACCCCCAACCCAAGGATGGCAAATATGTGGCCGAGGCGCCAACACTAGCATCAAACATCAATGGCTCCCACTGCCTCTGGGCTCACAGGGCTGTTGGTTTTTGGTTTACAATTTCACATGAGAGATCACTGTTCTGCTGGCTTTTACACTTGCACACTGACTGATACGTCAATTAAAATGAAAAAATGAAGCATGGAGAGAATTTTTAATGAGCTCATTTTCAATGCTAGTTACCAGGAAATATCTGACGCATTTTTGAGAAATAAGACAGACTGTGACTAATCTACCAAGGATCTGAATATTGTATGTAGGGTAACAACATAAACATTACTGCATGCAACATGATTTGTATTCACAGTGAAATTACAGAGCCCACCCAGGGCTAGGCAGTGGATTTCATTCTGCTGGGAATCTGATTTTGTGCAACACTGTCACCTCCCGTTACAAGTGTTTACAAAATCCACCTGAGCCTCTGAGCCCAGTTTGGATGCAATAGTTTGATTTCATAGTGAGCTGGAGGACTACTGAATGAGTTTTTACTGTTTTATCTCATTAGATTAGCTGTCGTCTTAGATTTCTGGGAAGGAATCTAAAATCTACTTAATTGGATTTTTAAAATAAACGACTCTCTGAAACTTTAAAAATGAAGCAATTTGTTATACCTGCCACAAAGCAGTTTAAAAGCCGTAAGAGAGTTTACAGAACTCTAAAGGGATGTTATTGGGAAAAAATTGTTCCCATGCCTAACACTGAAAAGAAAAAGGATACTTAACGGGGGGAAATGATTCAACAGAAAATATTTTGGCAATGACGTGGGAAAAATAGATCTAATAGTTCTATACTCTGCATTATTTCCCCAAATGATGGTATTTTGCCCATGTATTTACAGCTTCTCTAGGACAGGGTTATAACATTTAATTTTTACTTTAAATGACAATAAAAGCCTTCTCAATCTTAACTTAATCTTGATAATATTATTTGAATTCCAGTGACTAAGATGAACAGTTACATTTTACCCTAAATTGAATTGAGGTTTATCGTTTTCCTGCACATGTAAGCTTACCCACGCAGCGTTTTGTTCGGTCAGTTGGCTTTTTCCCCTCTGGCACATGAAATGGAATCTATTTGCTATCCCTGCTCTAACCACGTGGCCTGTCTCAAAGCTCCACCACCGATTCTTGCTTATAGCAAAATCTGAAAGAAATCTCCCTTCTGCCACCAACCACCTCAACGGCCTCTCAGGCATTCCAAGTGCCTTATTCCCCAGCCTGCTCCAGTCACTCATGGTACCTGCTTGGACCTGGAGGCAGCTGAGTTTGAGATTTTAAAACTCATTTAAGCAGGCAAAAATATGTGAGAAATATTTTGCAAAATATTGCAATGCAGACAGTACATCCACATAGAGCTACTGCCTAAGGGAAAGGAGCTCAGGAGGAGTCCAGTTTACTGCTCTGGTGAGGCAGCCAGAGGCTAGGAGGAGCTGAAAAGCCACACAAAAAGTCTAAAGCAAAAGTGCCCAAGGCCAGGCCACACAATGTCAGGGGCTCCCTCCACACCTGGGCTCTGACTCAGTGCTGTGACTGATGGCTGCTGGGGAGGTGCACAGCGTCTGAAGACAGGTTGTGCAGGCTCCCTTCCAAACTAGGTCAGCACATTTGGACTTTGACAAGCTCATCCCCATAAAAACAGGTTGTAAATGTTAAGTTCTCAGTCCAACTTACAAGGACTCATTTAGCTCACAGATTATCTAAGAGACAGCCCTGGCAGGGGCCTATTGAGTTTTCTGAGCCACTCAGAAAAATAGTAAAAATAAAAACTAGTGGAAAAAGATCTAGGAGGTAACAGTGGTTCTTAACCAGAGCTACACATGACAGTCCTGGAGGCTCTGAAAATAATACAGGTGATGCCACTTATATGAAATGGCCAGAAAACGGGAATCTATAGAGGCAGAAAGTAGATGAGTGGTTGGCTTTGGGGGTGGGGGGAATGGGGATTAACTGTAAAGAAGTATGAAGGCTCTCATTTGGGGTGACAAAAATGTTCTACAATTGGGTTGTGGTGATGGTTACACAACTCTGTAAATTTACTACAAATCATTGAGTTCTACACTTAAAATGAGACATTTTTTGAAATATGTCAGACACAGAAAGATATATACCACATGTTCTCATTCATATGTGGGAGCCAAAAAAAATAACGTCATAAAAGTAGAGAGTAGAATTGTGGTTATTAGAGGCTGGGAAGCATAGGGTGGAGGAGAGATAGGGAGAGGTTAATGGATAGGGATAAATAATTATAGCTAGATGGGAGGAATAAGTTCTAGTATTCTATAGCACTGTAGGGTGAATATGACTAACAATAACTTAGTGTGTATTTTCAAAAATCTAGAAGAGGATTTTGAATGTTCACAATACAGGCACAAACGTTCAAGGTGATGGATACGATAATTATGCTGATTTGATCATTACACATTGTAAACATATCAGAATATCACTCTATATCCCATAAATATGTACAAACATTGCAGCCAACTAAAGATAAAAGGGGAAAATGGGTAAATTTTATGATCTATAAAATATATCTCATAGGTTGGGCACAGTGGCTCATGCCTGTAATCCCGGCACTCTGGGAGGCCAAAGTGGGAGAATCACCTGAGTCCAGGAGTTCAAGACCAGCCTGGGCAAGACAGGGACACCTCCATCTATACAAAAAATAAAAAACTTAGCCAGGCATGGTGGTGCACACCTGTAGTCCCAGCTACTCAGAAGGTTGAAGTGGGAGGATTGTTTGAGCCCAGGAGGTCAAGACTTCAGTGAGCCACGATCGTGCCACTGCACTCCAGTCTGGGCATCAAAGCAAGATCTTGTCTCAAAAAAAAAAAAAATTAAAACAATTAGCTGGGCATGGTGGTGAGCACTTGTAGTCCAGCTACTTAGGAAGCTTAGGTAGGAGGGTCATTTGAGCCTGGGAAGTGGAGACTGCAGTGAGCCAAGATCACACCACTGCACTCCAGCCTGGGCAACAGAGTGAGACCATGTCCCCCACAAAAACACAAATACACACACACCCCTCATAAGGTTGTCAAAAATAATAATACTGATGCCTGGACCCCAACCTAAAACAAATGAATTAGAACCTCTGGAGGTGGGGCTTGGCTTTTTTTTTTTTTTTTTAGCTCCCCAGGCAATTCCCAAGCAAAGAGAACACTGAGAACTGCTGCAAGGAGAAGGTTCAGGTAGCAACAGCTGGCAGGTGGCAGAACGAGCAGCAGGACAGACTAGAAGGGTAGCAGCCATAATGCACTGCAGCACCATAGTCTCCAGGGTCCCTGTGTCCTAGGCCATAAACACATTTCAGAAGGAGCTGATGTGCATGATTCACAACTGGCTTTACGCTGCGGCCTTCACAGACAGAGTAAACTCAGTTGTAAAAAACAGAGTGATACCCAATTCTAAGTTTCACTCTCAGCAAAGGATAAGAATGTAGGATACAGTCAGAACTAAGAGTTAGGGCTCTGGAGTCAAACATACCAGACTTTGAAACCCAAGGCTAGACGTTCACATGTGCACCTTACTAAGAAACATTTCCTCCACTGTGAAATAGGAATAATTATAACCATAAAATTATAATAATGATACCACCACCATAGTGGTTGTTTAGGAACACCATCTCATGTACTTCATTTAACGTGTTTCGTGGCACCTAGTGAGGGTTCATGGAGTGTTAGCTGTTCTGAGAATTACAACAAATAATAACAACCTTCAGATAAATCCCAAGTCTTATCTAAGAATGACCTTTCCAAATTTATCAAGCTGTTCTAGCTTCTCTCTGGAAGAAGTCACAGTCGAGCCTGGACCACACAAAAACAAAAAGCTAGTCAGAGTTAGAGCAGGAGTAGCGCAGGACGTTCAATTAAAACAAAGGGTTGGTTGTGACAACACCGTGTGGGATGGCACCAAAGAGAATCACAGGCAAACAATAAACAGAAACTCAGGGACAGAGTACGTGGAGAGTTAGTAAACCCTGCATCAGAAGCTAACATCTTAAGCTGCTGGGCTTCCCACCACTGCTAAGGAAGCTATAGAAACACCTGCACCAGCAGATCTCAGCTGAGCATGCATTCACAGAGAAGCAAAAGCAAGTCTCCAAGTATAAACCATCCATCCGAGGATGGACTTACTTCAAGAGCCTCAGATTTTAGATATTTGTTCATTCAGACGGTATTTACGGAGTTCCCACTAAATGTCAGGAACTGAGAAAGAAAAAAGGAGACAGAAATGATACAGTCCCCACCCTTGAGGAGCTCATGAGAAAAAAAGGTCTCATCCTTAATGAAAACACTTTGGGGGCACAGATAGAAGAGTGATTAACTGTGTGGCCAGGAAAGCAGGGAAACAGTCCAAGTGGACCTCAGATAAGTCAGGCATGGGGAGAAAAGGTTTGGGGAGGAGTGTGTACATAGTAGGGTACAGAACAGGAGGTGGAGATGTGGCTGCAGAGAAAGGCTTTGCCTGCCATGGAACTCGGGGGCAACAGGGAGCCACTGATGGTTTTTCAGTAATGGAATGGCAACAGGTTTGAGTTTCAGAATGAAAAGTAGAATAGCAGGATGGAAGTAGGAACTCCTGGAGCCCTCTGTGGATATCTAGACGAGAGACAAGAACACAGACCCAGAGCCCAAATAGTCATCCTGGCCAATGACACATAGCTATTTTTTCTTTTTCTTTTTCTTTTTTTTGGAGACAGAGTCTTGCTCTGTCACCAGGCTGGAGTGCAGTGGCACAATCTTGACTCACTGCAACCTCCACCTCCCAGGTTCAAGAGATTCTTGTGCCTCAGCCTCCCGAGTAGCTGGGACTACAGGCGCACGCCACCATGACCGGCTAATTTTTGTATTTTTAGTAGAGATGGGGTTTCACCATGTTGGCCAGGATGGTCTCGATCTCCTGACCTCATGATCCGCCCACCTCGGCCTCCCAAAGTGTTGGGATTACAGGCGTGAGCCACCGTGCCTGGCCCAACACATAGCTATTTTAACAGAAAGAGTACAGTAGAATCTGACTATAAACTACCAACTTGAAAAAAGTACAAGAAAAATTCATAAATACAGTACTCCTGTTCAAGAAAGTAATCAAACATAGAAACTGGAATTGGTGGATCATAACATGTAATCAAAAAAGTTTCTGTTACCGTTTATTTATTTTTTAGAGATGGGGTCTGTCACCCAGACTGTGGAAAGCAATGGTGCGATCGTAACTTATTTTAGCCTCCAACTCCTGGGCTCAGCAATCCTCCTGTCTCAGCCTCCCAAGTAGCTGAGACTACAGGCATACACCACCACACTCATCTAATTTTTGTATTTTTTTGTACAGACAGGTTCTCGCTATGTTGTCCACACTGGTTTCAAACTCCTCGCCGCAAGTGATCCTCCTGCCTCAGTTAAAATCCTTTTTTTGGAGACAAGGTCTAAAATCTTAACGTGCTGGCATTGTAGGCATGAGCCACTGTGCCCAGCCAAAAGAGTTTCTTAACACCAAATTTCCAATACTAAAATTTAAAAAAAAATTAATAGTAATATTTTGCATTTATACATTATTTTCTGTTATGAAAGCACTTTTACCTATATTATTTCATTATAATAGGTTGGTGCAAAAGTAATTGTGGCTTTTCCCATTAAAAGTAATGGGCAGCCGGGCATGGTGGCTCACGCCTGTAATCCCAGCACTTTGGGAGGCCGAGGTGGGCGGATCACCTAAGGTCAGGTGTTCAAAACCAGCCTGACCAACATGGTGAAACCCCATTTCTACTAAAATACAAAAAAAAATTAGCTGGGCATGGTGGTAGGCACCTGTAATCTCAGCTACTCAGGAGGCTGAGGGAGGAGAATCACTTGAACCCAGGAGGCGAAGGTTGCAGTGAGCTGAGATTGCACCACTGCACTCCAGCATGGGCAATAGAGTGAGACTCTGTCTCAAAAAAAAAAAAAAAAAGTAACGGGCAAAAACATGTACCCATACAGGGCAATTTTTATTATCCCTGTTTCGTGGGTGTGCAGGCAGACACCCATTAAGTGAATTACACAATGTGAACCAGTCTTTGAACCTTCAGAAAGAGTACCTTCGAGGCCATGGACCAAAGTTAAATTTCTCTTAAATTTGCAAGCTATGTTCTGACCCTAACTCCGCCACAAACTAACCATAGCATCTAAAAATACATCCCTTAACCTTTCTGCCCCTTACTTTATTTATATTTGCATCAACATTCTCACAGGACTTTTAAGAGACTAGAACAAAATAGCAAAGGAGGGAACATTTTGAAACCTTCCAAACTGGGCTTTGCAAACGTAGGACTGTAACTCCAAAAATGACAAATGTTGCACGGTTTAAACAGGCATCTAGTGCTGAAAATCTGAATAATGGTGGCTCCTCTGGAATTCTACAATAAACACACGTCACAGATGTGGCCCAGGAAGTTCCATGCTTAGCGTGGTGCACAAAATGAAGAAAAAATAGTCACCTGGAAAGTCAGGGCGAGGCAGTTTTTGAGGGATGATGGTAGATTCTGGGTGGGGAACACCCTAAATCTCCACTTGCCCTTTTCTAAGGTCAAAGAAAGGAGTGCCTGATGGATGAAAGGACACTGTAAATACCTTAAAACAGAAATCTGATTGCTTTTTAATGAGGTGTTTTGTCAAAAAAGCTATTCAGGATAAGTAAGCCTTAACTGAGTGGAGCTACACAGCCCATCAACAAATTCAACCACAGGCTGGTGTCATGCATACTTTGCACTAACTTTTCATTTGGTTAGTCACTGAACAAATATTTTCGGGTTCCCTTCCATGAGCCATCATGAGTAAGATAGGGCCCCTGCTCTGCCAGAGCTCAAGGACTATCAAGGAAAATAAGCCATTATACTCCAGTGCAAGGACGGTTCCAACAGGGAAGTGCAGGGTCCCTGGGAGTTGTCACTATCACCACAGCCCACATTTATTGAGCTCATATCACATGCTCAGCACTGTTCCAGGTGCTTTGCAAGAACTGAACTCTACGGGATAAGTATTATTACCCCCGTGTTACAGAGGAAGAAACTGATGCACCCAGGGAACTTAAGCGATTGCCCAGGGTTTCCCACCTAGGCTCTGAATCTCGGCAATATTACTTCAGGGACCCTGTTCTTAACCACCTAATACACACTTTACTTGTATTAACCCACCTAATCCTCAAGACAACCATGAGACTGATACCACTATTATAACCTGTATTAGTCTGTTCTCACATTGCTAATAAAGACATACCCACGTCTCTGTAATTTACAAAGGAAAGAGATTTAATTGACTCAGTTCCGCAGGGCTGGGGAGGCCTCAGGAAACTTACAATCATGGTGGAAGGGGAAGCAAACACGTCCTTCTTCAAATGGCATCAGCAAGGAGAAATGCCGAGCAAAAGGGGGAAAAGTCACTTATAAAACCATGAGATCTCATGAGAACTCACTCAGTATTACTAGAACAGCATAAGGGTAATGGCCCGATAATTAAATTACCTCCCATGGGATCCCTTCCACGACACGTGGGGATTATGGGAACTACAATTCAAGATGAGATTTGAGTGGGGACACAGCCAAACCATGTCATACCCATTTTAGAGATTTAGAAACCTAGGCACAGAGAAGCACATTAAATTGTTGCGGGTTACAGACATGACAGGAGGGGCCTGAATGCAGACCTGGGATATCAGAAAGATATCCTGAAACTGGTGATGGCTTCTGAGACCTACTGGATGAGTTGGAAACCCAGAGGCTGGATAGTACAAGAGCACCCAGGTCAGGGAGAAGAGAGGGAAGAGAGAGCAGGGAGGAGCAGAGGCAGGTGACATGGCTGGGGGAGAACCCCACCCCATTTAAGCTCAGGTACACGGGATCTGCTGAAGATTGTGAGCAAACTTATTTGCTGAATACATAAGTGACTAAATGAAAGTTTTCAGTATCTGGGCCTTGTACTGAGTAGGAGCCAGCGGCAATCCACCACCAGGGTGGGCAGGAGAGCCAAGGGCCAGCCCAATTCTAGGCCATCAGGTGTGCGAACCAAACTGAAGGACTGCGGAAAACACGGAAAGGAACTCTGCCGGACTCTGGGCCTTCAAATGAGTACCAGGCAGCAAATGTAAAAAAAAAAATCTTCAGAAAGGCTGTTACATGCATTTAAACAAAGGAAAACCAGGCTTGGACAATGAACCAACAAATAAAACTGCACTCACTTTACTTCTCTATAGACCAACTTTTTCTTCTCTTTTTTTTAAGAGACCAAGGGCTTTGCTATGTGGTCCAGGTTCACTTCAAACTCTTGGGCTCAAGCAATCCTCCCGCCTCAACCTCTCCAGTATCTGGGACTACAGGTGCAAGCCACCTACTTCTTCATAAGTACACCAGGGATTTCAGCACAATGGTTTTTAACTTCTAAGACTTAAAAAAAATTCCCAACATTTCAGTGAATTTTATTTTTTTGGGGGGGGAGGGAAATAAATATGTCTTCAGTCAACCATCTTAACTAAAATGTCTCCCATAACGTCTTAAATCCCTCTCTGCACTGAAGAATCTTCCTATCATCAATAATTTCAGGAACCTACCAGTGGAGTAACAGTTAAATTTGTTGTGCCATAACATGTTATTATGATAGTTGTATTCCTAAGAATTTACCAATGCTCATATTATAAAATCAACTGATCAAATGGCAGGAGCGAGAGTCTTCTGGGGATGGAGCATTCATAAAAAAATTTCTTCAGCGTTACCAGGCAAATCTAGCATTTCATCATATCTGGACATTGCTCCAACAGGATATTGGTCTTTTGTTATCATCAGAAGCACTCTTAGTAATGAGAACATCTTATGCATGCACATCTCCTTTGCCACCCACAACTCGGAAAGCAGAACAGAAAAACACCCACTAAAGCATGTTCAGAAGGTGCCCTCCCTCTACCCCAAGCAAGGTGCTAGCTCCTTGTAGGTGGGTGAAGTGGCTAAGAGCAAATATGCAGGGAGTCAAAGCCCCGTTCACCACCTAAGAGCGGGGTAATCTCTGTGTCTCCATTTCCTTTCCCGTAAAAATGGAGATATTAAGAATATCTAATTTACAGATTGGAAAGATTGAAAGAGATAATATAAGCAAAGTGCTGATTCCTAGAAAGCTCAAAAAATTCCTGGCATGGTGGCTCACACCTGTAATCCCAGTACTTTGGAAGGCCGAGGCAGGAGGATTGCTTGAGGCCAGGAGTTGGAGACAAGCCTGGGCAACATAGGGACAACCAAAAAAAAAAAAATGGTTTTTGTTCTGTCTAGAATATGGAGAAATCATGTCACACAAGTTACTCAATCTCCCTGTGCTTCTGGTTCCCACCTATAAAAGGGATAACACTATACTGACTTCACAGGGTCTGGTGGGTATTAAACAAGTCAATACACAACTTGGACTAGCGCAAGGTGCCCAGTACACATCCAGATGCATATTCTCTGTCATTAGCACTTGGACTGGTGCAAGGCGCCCAGTACACACCCAGACACATATTCTCTGTCATTAGCACATGGACTGGTGCAAGGTGCCCAGTACACACCCAGATGCACATTCTCTATCATTATCACCTGGACTGGTGCAAGGCGCCCAGTACACACCCAGACTCATATTCTCTATCATTAGCACTTGGACTGGTGCAAGGCGCCCAGTACACACCCGGAC
This sequence comes from Homo sapiens, assembly GCF_000001405.40. NCBI lineage: Eukaryota > Metazoa > Chordata > Mammalia > Primates > Hominidae > Homo > Homo sapiens. Next base: position 250,823 of record NW_021160019.1, read on the forward strand.
ACATATTCTGTCATTAGCACTTGGACTGGTGCAAGGCACCCAGTACACACCCAGATATATATTCTCTGTCATTAGCACTTGGACTAGTGCAAGGCACCCAGTATACACCCAGATGCGCATTCTCTATCATTATCACAATTATTTCTTTGGCAGATCCCTCTGGCTGCAGTGTGGAATATGTGAGGGAAAGATATGCTGCCGGGTAGGGAAGCCATGGAGGAGAATCTGAAGAGTCCCCAAAACACGAGATCCAAGTGAGATGGAGGACAGCCCACACTAAATAGTGGGTAGGTAGAGCAGGGCACAGAGAGCCACTGCAAAGGAGAAAGGAACAGGACTCGGTGACTTGGGGGTGGACAGGAAGTGAGGGGGAGGAGCTGAGGATGACCACCAGGTTTCTGCCTTGAGGGACTGGCTGGACAATGTGTGTTTTTCCTCACCAAAAGAGAAACACTGGGAGGATATGAAGGTACAATGAGGTCAGCTCTGGAAATGCTGGGTGAAGGGACCTGTTGAACATTCAGGTGGAGATATCCAGTTCCCTTTTTTCTAGATGGTTCTGAAGCACAGAAAAGACATCTGGTCCAGAAACGAAGAGCCTGCTGTGAGGACCAGCAGCAAACACGGATCTGGGGGAGTTCATGCAGAAGCAGACCCTGCAGAGAAGACGGAGGCTGAGGATGGAGGCCCTGGGACACAGCGGAAGGAGAACCAGGGCAGGGGACAGGATAGGAGTCCCCAGGGAGGGCAGGGAAGAAGCCAGGAGCGAGGTGCGGGTGAAGCATGGATGAGGGACTGGCTGATGATGCAAACTGGGCCCCGGGCACAGGGACGTCAGGGACAGGAAAGTGGGAGGAGAGGGTCCTGGGAAGCCAAGACGCAGAGCGTGGATGACAGAGGAAGACGCAAAGCCCCAGAAGGAAGGGGAGGGCTGAGAAAAGCCTGACCATGAGGAGCAGCCAAGAAGAAACAGGCAGCAGATGGAGGGAGGTGAAAGGTGCATGGCACAGAGGGGAGGCTGGCAAGGCAGCGCCCAGGACAGCGGCACAGGTGGCGGGGCCTTGGACAGAGGGTGGGGTCCAGGCAGGTGGGTGGTGACGGCAACCATGACCACGGGTCAACCTGGGCCTCAGACACTGGGGAAAGGTGGCCATGTCCAGTTTTCTTAGGAAATTAGGAGGCAGGTCATCCAAGGAGAGAGGGTGGGTGTCTGGGGTAGGGTGAAGTAGGTTTCAGAAAAGTGAAAGTCTGGCAAAAGCACTCAGGAAAACGGGACAGAAAACTAAGCCAAGCGCTGGACGGCAGCATTCATTCAGCCCAGCTGAGCTTGGAGGCCATGAAATGCTGGCAGCCCCACACTGCACGACTGCAGGGTCTTTCTGGGCCACGCCCCGAATCCCAGGTATGGAAGTGAAGGACCCAAAAAGAGGAATGAATCAGGCTATTATTCCGCAGAACAGGTGAAAGAAAAAGGCCAGGTAGACAGAGCCTTGGAAGTCAGTCACCCACATGCCTGACCCCATCAGAGAAGAAAGGGGACCAAGCCAGGGCGGGAGGGACTGTGTGGGAAAGAGGAGGCTGAAAGGAGGAGAGACCGCGGGCAGAGGTGGACAAGGGACCAAGGTGAAGACCTTTGAGGTGCTTCTTGAACCACAGTGGCGAATGTCTTTCTGGACAAGAGTGCCAGTGCCCACCGCCATCACAGGACACAGCCCCATCCACACTCCCGGGACAGCAACATCTCATTGTCCCAAACTCTGCCAATTTCATCAGTGAAAAGTGGAGCCTGGAAGCTTTGCATTTCTTCAATGACTTCGAATTTTTTAAAGTGGTCTCACAGATTTCCTGGTCATCGGTATTTCATCTGAGAAGTTTCTGTCTGTGATATCTGCTCATTAGAGCGGAGTTCTTAAAATTACTAGAGAGCTTTATACATTCAGTATATTCACCTCTGTAGTGGTTGCTCTCAGTTTTTTCCAATTAGTCATCGTTTTAAATTTAACTTTGATATAATAAAACAGACAGAAGTGTAGTTATTATGTGGTTAAATCTACAGGTGTTTTATTTATTTATTTATTTATTTATTTATTTTTTAGAGATGGGGTTTCACTCTGTCACCCAGGCTGGACTGCAGGGGCACAATCATGACTCACTGCAGCTCCGGCTCCTGGGCTCTAAGGATTCTTCTATCTCAGCCTCCTGAAATAGCTGGGACTACAGGGGTGTGCCACCTCACCCAGCTAATTTTTCCAAAATTCCTTTTACAGACACGGGCCTCACTATGTTAATCAGGCTGGGCTCAAACTCCTGGCCTCAAATGACCCTCCTGCCTCGCCTCCCTAACAACTGGGATACAGGTGGGAGTCGCATGTCCCACCTACAGGCTATCTTTTATTGTTCTTTCTCCACATTTTTATGCCAAAGCATGCAGTACTTTCCACAATAAGCTATATTTTCTTGTATTTATTTTGTGGTTTTATTTTTTACATGAAAGCTTTAACCCATTTGGAATGTATTTTGGCATAGAGCAGTGAAGTGAAGGCTAACCTGGCTATTTTCCCCAGTGCTGACCTGCTGTGTCACACTGTATGTCCTCACTGTCTCATGACGCCTCCCTAGCACACACCACCTTCTTAAACACAGCAGAGCTTGCTCCTGGTGGTATCAGGAGCCGTTTCTCACGTATAGGAACACAGCAGAGTGGCTGATTGGACCAAGGTCACAGACACAGCGAGTAAACAGTACAGACAGGATCTCAAGCCCTCAGACTCAAGTCCAATACACTTTTTACTACAATGCAACTGCCCCAAAGCAGTTTTACGTTGATTAAGCCCTTATCTAAAAGTTTTGAAAACTGAATTAACTAATCGCCAAGAAAGCCAATTCTTGAGGGAAAGTAATTTGATGATCATCAAATCCCATGACAGAACACATTTCTGCTTTGTGGGGGAAAGGCTCCCATCTAGAAAAAGCATGTATTTTGGACACAGGCAGAACAACACACACAGACGCACGAGGTGCACATCTGCAAATAACATTTCTCTAGAGAGCAGCTCCCAGCATGGGAACTGTAACTAAGCATTGCTTGGACAACTGGCAGGCTTTCTTGAGCTGCCGACCATGTGGACGGCTTTTCTTGAATCTTGGGGTTTTTGTCCATGCGCTTGAGGATGTCTGTGAAGTCCATAAGATTATAGGCAAATCTGTGTGTGGATGATTTTTTCTGGCAACGGGGGGGTTATTAAAACCTCTACCTAAATCTACAGGCAGCAAGGTTTCCATTCCTAAAGACTGCCCTGAGATTCAGAGGCTACAATTCAGTCTACTGCCTTGTGACCTGCTAACCACCTCTTCTTTAGAAGTGACATTAGCATACTGCCACATACGCTCCATTAAAACTCCTCTTACCATTTCTCAACTTTCTCCTCCAATTTGTTCCTAAATCTAAAGTGCATTGCAATTGTTTTCTCCATATAGTTGGACTACTACAAATTCAGCATTCTGCATTTAAGATCACCTGCCAACCTCATGACACAAAACAGACACAGAATAAAGCTCAAATAGCAGACACACTAAAAGTTGTGTGGTTCGAAAATGAGGAGAACGTTGCTTGCAAACTTCCATTGGGAACAATTCATATTACAACACTTGTATTTTAGCAGGATTTAAATAGTCCTTATCATGTTCCTGAAATGTCCAATAAAGGTAGAATCATATGCCCTTTACACAATATTCCTATAAACATTTATACAGCTACACACTATTTTGGAGTCTAACCAATTAAATAAGGGATGAAAAAGAAATCATTGAACTAAATAGCAAAAGCAGAAATAGAAGCACAACACTGATAATATTATGTACCTAAAATAACAAAAATGATCAGTTGCATAGTTTAGTAAATAGGCACTATTCTCAATTTAAAAAACAAAAAAAAATACCTGGGAAGCATATAAAAGATTGTACACACAAAGTCATGTGCAATGCTCATCTTGTAGATATCAATTCTCAAAGTTTAGTTCACAGATTTATTAGGCCATAAAAACCTGGGTTTTATTTATTTTTGAACCTTTAGAGCCTAGCCCACAACAGGGACCCAATAAACATCATTTGAATAAATGAGTCCCAACTCAATCAAAATCCTAAATAATTTTTTCTAGAAACTAGAGAAGATGAGATGCCAAAACTCGCCTTTATACAAAAGTAAGAGAGATACTGAAAAAAGAATATTTATTATTATTTTTTAATGAGACAGGGTCTCTTGCTGGAGTGCAGTGGCAGGACCACAGCTCACTGCAGCCTTGAACTCCTGGCCTCAAGCGATCCTCCGGCCTCAGCTTTCCAAAGTGCTGGGATTACAGGCGTGAGCCACAAACCCAGCCTGAAAAAGAGTATTTGTAAGAGACCAGCTCTACCCAATTTAAAACATATTACAGATCAACAGTTATTAAACCATACTGATGCAGGCTAGGTGCAGTGGCTCATGCCTGCAATCCCAGCACTTTGGGAGACCAAGGTAGGAGGATCACCTGAGGTCAGGAGTTCAAGACCAATCTGACCAAAGCGAAACCCTGTCTCTACTAAAAATACAAAAATTAGCCGGGCATGGTGGTGGGCACCTATAATCCCAGCTACTGGGGAGGCTGAGGCAGGAGAATTGCTTAAACCTGGGAGACAGAGGTTGCAGTGAACCAAGATCGCACCACTGCACTCCAGCCTGGGTGACAGAGCGAGACTCCATCTAAAAAAAAAAAAAATGTTGATGCAAACATATACACACACCCAAAGCCATAAATCAATGGAATAGAATAGAAAGCCCAATAAAAGGTCAAAGAAAATATCACAATTATATGTTTCTAAAAAGGAATCATTGTAAAACAATGAAAAAGTGAAGAATTACTGTTCCCTATGTAAATAACATCTACATCAACCCTAACCTGAAGCTCCTCACCTCTTCCCTTGCTCTTTTCTTCAGCCCAAACATGGTGTTCAATGTTCTTCCCAGTCACCGCCCAAGGCTGCTGTCTTAGCCCTGCCGTCATCACCTCTCTGAGCCTACTGCAGTAGCTTCCTATCTGGGTTCCCTTTCCCTTCCTCCCTGGTCCTGACTCCATCGGCTGCCAGCTGACTTCCCACAGCACCAACTTTCTCAACCTTTTGCCGAAAAGAGTTCCCCAAGTTCTACCACAGTAGCCCTCAAACCATCATTCCCCCCTAAAACTGGAACAGAAGCTTTTCTAACGATGGACTTCCACAGATGACGACAGAAGCCAATCAACATCGCCTGGCTCTCAAAAGTTGGTGCTCCAGGCCATGGATGGCCTGTATTTTAGTCCTGCTATGTTGGGGTTGTTTGAGGATTATTATGAACCCCAGCAAGTACAAAAATGCAAAAGCAATGGGAGTATTAAACTGGTTCTGGCTGGGCGCGATGGCTCACGCCTGTAATCCCAGCACTCTGGGAGGCCAAGGCAGGTGGATCACCTGAGGTCAGGAGTTTGAGACCAGCCTGACCAATATGGTAAAACTCCCTCTCTACTAAAAATACAAAAATTAGCCAGGTGTGGTGGTGGGCAACTGTAATCCCAGCTACTCGGGAGGCTGAAGCAGGAGAATCGCTTGAACCCAGGAGACGGAGGTTGCAGTGAGCCGAGATTATGCCACTGCACTCCAGCCTGGGGAACAGAGCGAGACTCCGTCTCAAAAAAAAAAAAAAAAAAAAAAGAGGCTCTAACAGGAGATATACAAGTAAAATGGAAATTAGAGAAAATAATAAGTTACATTGTGAGAAATGATACTTGATATTCAATGTATAACAAAATTGTCTATTTGGGGCAAAGGTCTCCATCAGCTTATACAGGGCAAATAAAACAAGAGTATGCTAGCTTTAAAGCTTTTTTTTTTTTTTTTTTTTTTGAGACAGGGTCTCACTCTGTTGCCCAGGCTGGATTGCAGTGGCAGGATCTCAGCTCATTGCAACCTCTGCTTCCCAGGTTCAAGCGATTCTCGTGCCTCAGCCTCCCAAGTAGCTGGGATTACAGGTGTGCACCACAATGCCTGGCTAATTTTGGCATTTTTAGTAGAAACAGGATTTCGCCGTGTTGGCCTGGCATCAAATCTGCCTGCCTCAGCCTCCCAAAGTGCTGGGAGTATAGCCATGAGCCACCATGCCTGGCCTTAAAGCTTTTTAAAACTTGGAAGAACCAGCTGGGTGCGGTGGCTCACACCTGTAATCCCAGCACTTTGGGAGGCCGAGGAGGGCTGATTGCTTGAGGCCAGGAGTTCCAGATCAGCCTGGCCAACATGGTGAAACCCTGTCTCTACTAAAAATACAAAAATTAGCCGGGAGTGGTAGTGCACACCTGTAATCCCAGCTACTCAGGAGGCTGAGGCAGGAGAATCGCTTGAACCTTGGAGCAGAGGTTGCAGTGAGCTGAGACTGTGCTATTGCACTCCACCCTGGGTGACAGAGCAAGAATCCATCTCAAAAAAAAAAAAAGCTTTGAAGAACCAACTTACACCTTCTATTGGATGGAAATGCAACCAGGGGCTGTGAATTTAAATACTACAAATACTTAACAAATGGATCAGAAAATAGCAATCACTACCCAAGTGATTTGAAAATAGAAGAGCTGGAGAGAGTTGCTCCCCTGCTAAGAATCACATAATGGTTGCCTTTTTCCCAATTTACAAACAAAAAAAAAATATTAAGTTAAAGGATAAACTCTTCAAGTGTTAGGTTTCCCCTAGGACTATCTCTACCCTTGGAATTCTCTATCACCTGCCAGTTATTAAGATCACTCAAGGCCAGGCACAGTGGCTCACGTCTGTAATCCCACAACTTTGGGAGGCCAAGATGGGAGAGTTGTTTGAGGCCAGGAGTTGGAGACCAGCCTGGGCAACATAGCAAGACTCTGCCTCCATGAAAAAATTTGTTTAAAAATGATTGCTCACGTTACATGCCCAGCGGAGTCCTCACTGAACCCCCAGGCACATCTCAGAGACTCCCCTGCTTTGTGCCTGTGCCCACACTCCCTCCATCCAAGCACTCACTGTATCTGGTGAAGTAGAAACACTTCGGTGTATTTCCCCAAAGTACCGCTGGCCATGGTTTCAAATGGTCACTCCAGCCCAGGCATGTGAAAGTATCCAATGACCACGTGATATCCAAGCTGCTTGATTTATACATATTCACACTGACAGGTAACAGCTGATGGGTGCTTTTAATAATTTCTGTACATTTATTTAAGATTTATATTCATTTGAGCACCTGTTTACTTGGTCTGTGATTTCTAATTTAAACTCTTTAAGAAGTATAAATTTGGCCAAACCATGTGGAAGAACACTGAGTAACTACAGAAGAAATGCTAATGAAACATTAAAGGAGAGATCAAATTGACTACTAAACCAAAAGGTATCTCTGATAAGGAAGACGTCCAAAAAGAAGAGCTGTGGGAAAGGAGAGGAAGAGAGAAACATCTTGGGATAATCAAAAGGAAGTAGCCAATGCAAATAATCAATAAGCTGTAATTAACACAGAGGAAACACAGTCTCACAAGATGCATGGCTGAAATGAACTGAATATTGTTTGTTTTTGAGATGGAGTCTCACTCTGTTGCCCAGGCTGGAGTGCAGTGGTGCGATCTTGGCTCACTGCAACCTCGGCCTCCTGGGTCCAAGCCATTCTCCTGCCTCAGCCTCCTGAGTACCTGGGATTACAGGCGCCTGCCTGCCATGCCCAGCTAATTTTCGTATTTTTAGTAGAGATGGGGTTTTACCATATTGGTCAGGCTGGTCTCAAACTCGTGACCTCAGGAGATCCACCCGCCTTGGCCTCCCAAAGTGCTGGGATTACAGGCGTGAGCCACCATACCCAGCCTGAATATTGTTTTTATATCAAACATGCCTATTATTTTATTTGCTATAAATAATAGGCTCTACCTATTTAAAAGACAGTTTCTTATAGAAATCTTAGATTTTTTATAGAATCAGCTTTATCTTCTGAAACTTGTATTAAATCTGTACCTAGTCATGAATGTGCAAGGTTTCATCACTGTATCTGTTGAGGAACATATCTATGAACAAGAATGCTAACTTGTTTATATTAAAGTACATAAATACATCAAAGAATGGCATTAAGATTTCATTAACAGCACCTAAGATCTGCTAGAATAGATAAAACTGGTTACATTCAGATTATCTGTTTGTAGCTCTGTCTCCACATTCAAGTCCCCAGGGATCAATTATATTTTTAACCCCAGCCCCTATCATTTGACAGGTTCTCAAGAGACATTTGTTGAACTAAATTGGTAACTGAGCAATGAAACTGATAACTAAACGTTAATTCCATGACAAACAAATGACACATACAGAGAAAACTCATATAAAGAAATACAAATGTAAGAACACATTCATTTTGAACTTAGTGGAAAAAATTTAAATAGATAACAAATTTTTTAAGGACAATATCTAATGCAACTAAGGTGATGGTGAAATGTGATATTCATCATGTCATGCATAATGACACACATTATTGCGCAACATCACTTTCTGCACTACAAACTAAATGACGGCATTATCATCTTAGGAGACAACCTGGCAATACTGTCATGATATAAACATTAATTTCCTATAAATCTAGTGATTCTAACCTCTAGAGAATTCATCATGAAAAAGTAATTTAGAGGTGAGCAGCTATAATCATTAAAATGGTGACCGACCATGTCAAACAGAAGGTTGGGGAATTGTAGATACAATCCAGCTCAAGCCAGCTCAAGGCAGCAAAGCCAACTGGAAGACAAATTTGACTCCAAGTGAAAAATAATGAGCACCTAATTAAGGTAACAGGAAGGATGGCCTCTGGGAAGCAAAGATGAAGTCAACAGATAATCAAGGTCAGTTCCAGACCAGCCTGGCCAACATGGTGAAACTCTGTCTCTACTAAAAATTAAAAAAAAAAAAAAATTAGCCGGACATGGTGGTGTGCGCCTGTAGTCCCAGCTACTCAGGAGGCTGAGACAGGAGAATCGCTTGAACCCGGGAGACAGAGGTTGCAGTGAGCCGAGATCATGCCACTGCACTCCAGACTGAGTGACAGAGAGGGACTCCGTCTCAAAAAAAAAAAAAAAAAGAAAAAGATAATCAAAGAGGCAGAATTTCCAGTCTCCTCACCTGACTGAGATGATGGAGGAAAAAGAATGGGACTGACAGGTGACTAGGGAGGGTGTGAGGGCATTTAATGCCCTAGGGCAGGGGTCACATGCTTCTTATGAAGTGCCAGAGGATAAATACCATAGGCGTTGCAGGCCATATGGGTCACTGTTGCAACTATTCAACCCTGCCACTGTAGTGAGTGGCTGTGTTCCAGTAAACTTTTTCACAAAGCAAGCGGTGGGCTGGATTTACCCTGCAGGCCAAAGTCTCGTGACTCACAGACTAGAAGATAGAGGGAAATGAAGCCAATTTGAGGAAGAAGTTCATGGGTTCAATTTTATCAGGCCATGTCAGCAGAGATTTTTCAAGAGAGAGATGATAGCATCATTCTAGGGATAAAGAGACCCCAGGGCTGGAGGCATAAAACTGTCACCATGAGGTGATAGTTATGGGGCTGAGATCACCCAGGGGAACGGTCTGAGAAGAAAGGAGATCGAGGACATTTCTCTGTCGCAATATAACAGTGAATACCCAATGTTACTTCAGATCACTATGGCCCTGGAAAGGAATGAACATTACAATCTAACCTCTTTTAACTCCTACTTTTTAAAAAGAGGGCTCCTATTTTTGAAGTGGGGCTTTCAGTCCCTTTTCCAAGATAAATAAGTTTAAAGTTTCAAATTTACAGATGAAAATTTCCTAATGGCTAGAAAATAAGGCAATGCTAAAATAAAGTGCTTATCAACTTCTTTAGATTTTTATTATGAAATATTTTATGTGCAAAGAACATATAGTGTGTATGTAAAGCATAATGAATAACAATAAAGCAAATGCACCCATCCATATCTCAAGAAAGTAGTTCATTACGAATGCCACTGACAAATTACTTATTTAGAGACAGGGTCTCACTCCATCACCCAGGCTGGAGCACGGTGGCAGGATCACAGTTCACTGCAGCCTCGACCTCCCAGGCTCAAGCGATCCTCCCACCTGAGCCTCCCAAGTAGCTGGGGACTACATGCACATGCTACCATGCCTGGCTAAACTTTTTGCGTGTGTAGAGACAGGATCTTGCTATGTTGCTCAGGCTGGTCTCAAACTCCTGGTCTCAAGTGATCCTCCCACCTCAGCCTCCCAAAATGCTGAGATTACAAGCATGGGCCACTGCACCCGGCTCACTGACAACTTTTCATACCACAAGCATTAGTCTCTAAACTACAAATGAAAGCAGGCAGCCCACAGCCAGATAATGCTTTCAGATGTTTTCTTTGGCCAACAGTGGGTTTTTTTCTTTTTAGTTGCCAACATTTAAATATCAAGAAACTTCACATGAAAATCAGCATTCTGGAGTATCATCAAAAATGGAAGATGTAGCTTCACTACTCCCACGTTCACCATGGCAACAAGTGGCTAGAACTGAAGAGCAGCTCTCCCCTTTGAATGAACATGTATTCACCAGTTCACTGCAGTCCCCACATTCCCTACTGTCCTATACCCGCCTCCCATTTCACTTATTTATTTTACCCAACCTGGCACTTCGGTTTGTGACCCCTGCTTATGTGATTGTGGTTTCCAACCTTTGGGAATATGGGAAATATTATTTACAGTAAAAAAATTTAACAGACTCTCAATAGGTATATAACTAAAAGTAAGACAAGTCCACAATCCCTATCACCATTTTGTAATCCAAAAAGTTCTAAAAAACAAATCTTTTTTTGTAACTTATTTGGCAATAAAAGTTGACCTGAACTGATATTAAACTATGCATAATCTTCATGCATATCCATTCAGTGGGAATATATGTATATATATTTTGCTATACTAATGTTTGATTATGGGATTTTGTCCCAGACCCCACTGGAAGTATTACATAACAACAATATATGCATATTATTACTTTTAGAAAAATCTGAAAAATTCTGAATTCTAAAACTTATCTGGCCCAATGATTCCAGATAAGGGACTGTGGGCCTATTACACTTTTAATCCCTACCTTTAAGAAAATACAAACACAGCGAACAGATGAGAGTTTAACATTTTTACATGGATTTGTACTTCACTAGTTACTACAGCATCTACCTACACTTGAGAAACTGAAATAGAATGATAAAGGTGAAACATCCTGTGGTCTGACAAAAATGCACGGTGCACGTACTGACTGCAGCGCCCTAGGCCATAATCAAACTTGGAAGGTTTTGCCTCGTCCACTCTGCTACAAAGGCAATTCCATAATAGCGTAACATGCCGCTTACACATATAAAAATGATGCTAAATGAACATATCCTTTTATGGTTCAAATTTACAGATGAAAATTTTCTACTGGTTCATCATTTTTATGGTTTTAGAGTTCATTTCTTCCCCCCAGTAAAGAATGGATTTTCACTCAACTATAAATACTTCTGGATTTCTTAACATGTAAACTACATAATAAGGCCATAAAAGATGAGATTGAGAAGCTGCTGCAACGACAAGAGGACCTCTTTCCACCCTGCTCTATGGAGAGGTTGATGGAATCCACTCAGATTGAAGCAAAGCACACATTACCTATCCCTTCTCAGAAATACTGTTCAGAGTTCCCCTAGAAAAGGCAGAGTGGGCAGGCGTGGTGGCTCACGCCTGTAACCCCAGCACTTTGGGAGGCCAAGGTGGGTGGATCACCTGAGGTCAGGGGTTCAAGACCAGCCTGGCCAACATGGCAAAACTCCATCTCTACTAAAAAATACAAAAATTAGCCAGGCTTGGTGGCTCATGCCTGTAAGCCCAGCTACTCGGGAGGCTGAGGAAGGAGAATCGCTTGAACCCAGGAGGTGGAGGTTGCAGTGAGTCGAGATTGTACCACTGCACTCCAGTCTGGGCGGCAGAGCGAGACTCCGTCAAAAAAAAAAAAAAAAGGGTGGGGGGAAGGAAAGGTAGAGTGAAGATCAGTGGGAGGAAAAGGACACAGTGGAGTGGGTGAGGGATGCAGAATGTTACTGCTGGCAACGTAAGGATAAGGTTTGTGATCATCAAATACAGGCAGGGCTGACTCAGGGAAGAGAGATGAGATTCATTCAATTCGGCAGCAGGGGACTGTTCTGGGATCAGTAGGTAGAGACACATTTTGACTCAGTGTGAGAATTCACATTGCTGGTAGTGGATCCAACTACCTAGTGAGTGGTCCATTCTACATACCTCCTAGGAGTGGAAGACTCCTAGAGGTCATTAGATCTCTGTGATCAGAATTTATAGCTGCTGCAGAATCAGAAACCTGGGTTTGGGTCCACGGCTCTGTCTCTTGCGAGCTTGATGACCTCTTTGATCTCTGGCTTCCTCATCATTAAATCAGAAATAAGTAACATCACCTCAGAGGGTGGCTATGAGAATGCAATGAAATAAAAGTATGCAAAGCACCAAGCCCAGCAGCTTCATAAGCACAGAAGATGTTTAATAAACATTAATAAACACTAATCCTTCCCTGGTGAAGAGGCAGCCCAGTTCCTGTACTCAAAAGCACTTGGGAACCACAGGAAGAGGCCCTGGACCCAAGCCATGCCTCAGCCACTACTCAGTAACTGTGCAAACTTAGAAAGTCAGGTTTCTTCCTCTTTTTTTTCTTTTTTTTTTTGAGACAGGGTCTTGCTCTGTCACCCAGACTGGAGTGCAGTGGCATGATCTCAGCTCACTGCAGCCTCGACTTTCCAGGCTCAGTTGATCCTCCCACCTCAGCCTCCCAAGCAGCTGAGACAGGCAAACACCACCACTCCTGGCTAGTTTTCTGTATTTTTTGTAAAGACCGGGTTTCACCATGTTGCTCAGGCTGGTCTGAAATTCCTGGGTTCAAGTGATCCTCCTACCTCGGGCTCTCAAAGTGTCAGGATTACAGGCGTGAGCCACCCCACCCCACCCAGCCAGGTTTCCATCTTTGTCAGAGAGAAGTTATCATTGTCAGGAGACGAAATCCAAGCCAGGTGGTTTAGTACAGCACTTTGTAAACTAAACCACCATAGAAATGTTATAGACTGTTACTATCAGACCTTTTCAAGATTTTAGTAAAGAAAGGATGAGCTGTTTTTCAACAAATCCAAAGAACTGAAAACATCAGGGTAAGGTACAGGGGAATAAATGAAAAAGAGGGACTGTCAATTTCTGAGTCCTTCTAGACAAGCAGTTGGGTGATCCACAGAAATATTTTGTTCAGCTGCATATAGTGTCCCCGTAGTTTAATTTGGATTAAACGCCAGCTAGTTAAAATGCAGATTTCAGGAAAACTCCACAGGTGGTCCACACTGGGCCTACATTACCACAGCAGCCCCTTTGGTGGGACACAGTCCTCCAGGTCCCCTGAGGCCTTCACATGGCCCAAAGCACTGATTCATTTTACTGGCCTCGCCCTCTAGGCATTTGGGTTTACAACCTTGGGTTCTCAAAAAACAACTATCTGTGAAAGCATTCAGACCTCCAAGGGAAACTTCAGTCAGGGAAGAAATCAACACCCAAGGAGACACTCCCTATCAGAGCCTCAGTACTATGCTCTCCTAGTTGTCTCTCAAATTTTTTTTCTCCTTGATACTTCTGTAACTTCAAGGTCTTCATCCCAGTGTACTCCTTCCTCTACTCAAGACATCATCTCCCCAAAAACACCATTGGTGATGATCTGCATCTAAGGGTTTTCAAGAAACAAAACATCTCTCTTTTTAGCAGGGCTACAAAAGACACACCATGACCTTTATTTCTTGCCTGATTACCACCCATTACCATCCACTCTCAGTCCATATGGTTTGGGTGCGCTGACTCCAGTCCATTTCTGGGGAAAGGCATGTGACCCAGAAGCATTCAGAGCCAATCCTGGGACTCGGGCCACAGTGACTGCGAGATGAGTATTCTTTCCCTCTGAGACTTGGAAGATGTGGAAGTCTCCCAGTGGACACAGTGCCTACCTAAAGAGTGGAACCGAGGCCAGGCGCAGTGGCTCATGCCTGTAATCCCAGCACTTTGGGAGGCCAAGGTGGGCAGATCATCTGAGGGCAGGAGTTTGAGACCAGCCTGGCCAACATGGCAAAACCACATCTCTACTGAAAATACAAAAATCAGTCGGGCATGGTGGTACAGGCCTGTAGTCCCAGCTACTTGGGAGGCTGAGACGGGAGAATTGCTTGAACCTAGGAGGTGGAGGCTGCAGTGAGCCGCGCCACTACACTCCAACCTGGGTGACAGAGCCAGACTCCGTCTCAAAAAAAAAAAAAAAGAGTGGAACCCCCAGAAGAAGCCAAATCTGCAGCCACACTACTTATTAGAGGCTCTTTTGGTCACTTATGAGCCAATCAATTCCCGTCTTTGCTATGAACTGGGTTTTCTTACAACCAAAAGAGACCTAATCAATACAAGAGATATTTGAAATAAGGGCTTGAAAATGAAGGCAGAGAAAGGTGCTCAGATTTTCTCCTCTGGGAAGCTTTTGTTACCTCCCTCAATCCAATGACAGCTGGGTTTTGCTCTGTGCATTAGCCATCCCTCTTAAGCACTTATCTCATGTATATAATTATTTTTTGCCTGCCTACCTCTTCCACGTATCTCCTGAGCTCCCTCAGGGCAGAAACCATGCCCGTATTCACCTTTGATTCTTTAATACCCTGGATAACAGGACACAGTGTAGGCTCAACAAGTGTCTGTTGAATGCATGAATCAACAAAAGGCAGGTGGACTAAAAGAACCATCCTACTTCTCTTCTTTGGGACACTCACACCATGAGACCACCTCATAAGCCTTGCCCCTGTGAGTTTCAGGCCGTCTTCTCAAATAGACTTACCCACCCATCGTAAACAAACTGCATCATGCGAACTCATTCCTTCCAGGCATTACTAATTCTCTACAAGTCCCTCCCCTGGAACCTTACAGTGAAAGTACTCAAAGGTCTCCCTTCTGAGGAGAATATCTCACTGCAAGACACCACCTAGAATTCCACAAATTGATAAACCAAAACACGATGGGCATGACATTCACATATATAACTTCCTTCTCCACCTAGATCGCAGGGGCGAAAACAAAAAAACCCTTTGCTTTGTAGCCTTCATCTTGACCTAAAAACACCCAGAATCCTGATTCTGGGGCCAACCAACCACCTACTTCCAAGCAGTAACAATTCTAGGCACTCTCCAGCCTCCGTTTATCTTCCTTAGTCCTTTCTGATTACTTAAGCAGAAAACACATACACACACACATCTAGGAAATCAACAGCAAGGAAGCAACAGGTTTCCCAGTTAAAAACAGATGTTCTGACTTTGGGTGCATAATTGCCACACCCTTAATAGTTCTGTAATAGCTTCAGCTTCCACTGGCATCTAGCAATAAAGATTTTTAAAGACAGTCAAAGGTCAGGCCCAGAATTACAGCTCCAGCATGAATCACCATCTACTCTATCCACTTCATGTTTTCCCATACTCGGGCCCACACCACCAAGGCGATCTAGTAAGAACTCAAATACCAGAATTAACAATGTCTACTGCACCCTGGCCATGGGGTAGGAACCACAGCAGACCCTGGGAATCAAAGGAGACACAGCAAGGACTCTCAAGGTATTTATCTGATGGAGAACACACACAAGAGGCAGTCACAGCACAGAAAAGCAAGTGCTACACAGGATTACAAGAACGCCCAGGAGAGGCATCCAATCTATGCTGTAGCATCATAGAAGGCCTTTCAGAGGCAGAGGGACCTTTCCCAGAAGGCTGAAGAATGAGCAAGAGGTGCCTGGAGAAAAGGTGTGGTGGGAGAGGCTTCCAGGAGTTCCAAGTAGATGCTAGCAGGTAAGAAAGCAAGACCTCCTGTGGAAACTGAAGGTAGGCAAGCATGGCCGGAATTTTAAAATGTGAAGGTGCCAGGCAAGGTGGCTCACGCTTGTAGTCCCAGAACTTTGGGAGGCCAAGGCAGGCAGATCAGTTGAGGCCAGGAGTTCGAGACCACCCTAGGCAACATGGCAAATCCCCACTCTACAAAAAATACAAAAATTAGCGGATGTGGTGGTGCCCACCTGTAGTTCCAACCACATAGGTGGCTGAGGCGAGAGGGTCGCTTGAGCCCAGGGAAGTCAAGGCTGCAATGAGACAAGATCGCACCACTGCACCCCAGCTTGGGTGACAAAGGGAGACCCTGTCTCAAAAAAAAAAAAAAGTGTGAAGGGAGAAGCCTCTAAGATGACCCAGGAGTCAAAGAGACCCTAAATAGCTTGGTAGATTTAAGTCTCAGAACTTTGTATAAAAAGAGTGAAAGTCCCTTACCTGTCACGAACAATGTAAAAACAAGCCAAACGACTATTTGACAAATGTATCTTGGCACTTACTAAATACTAGTTCCACAATGCACGTTGCTCAGAACACTAACAAGGGTACGAAACTCACAAGAAATTATCATGTGCTTGTAAACTGTTCCTTGAAACATCAGCCGCCATTACCACACGTCTACCTTCCTCTCAGCATTATTTCTTTAATTTTCCTGCAAATAACAGAAAAGTAGGTTTGTCTGGGCTTTAGGGGCAGCGATTAACCCTGAAAATAAGAGTTAATTCTCACCACAATAATACGGTAGGGAATCGAAAAAATTAAACAAGGAAACTAAGCAAAAAGATGGAGGAAATGAAACAGTAAAAAGCAAATTTAGAAAACTCGAGAGGAAGTAAAAGTATTTTCATACACTCAAAAAAAAGAAGTGTCCCACGTGCTTCAGCCAAACCAAACTCCCCTTAACTGTTAAAAACAGAAAATCAAAAGAAGAGCTGTGAGAAATTCATACTTTCGTATCTCTTTGCTGAATAAACACTAAATCGGTACAGTACAGCCAGCTGCCCTGAAAGACCTTGAAATATTAGCCCCAGATAATACAGCACATGACAGTCACCTCCAGAAACTCTCAAAAACCACAAATCATTTCTTGTTCTGACAACCTGATCTACCAACTCTGGTCTAGCCTGCCATTTAATAATCAATAACGTTTCTTGTTAAGCACTTCAACCGTAGCAAAGGAAGATAAAGAAGCATTTGTTTCCAAACCTAAGGTGAGACTTTTTAAATTGGCGCAAGGCGTCTCCATAATCCTTTTCCGCCAATTCCTAATTTCTAAATGTCAAGAACTGGCAGCAGCAGTCCAGTTCCTAGGAGCCCTGGTTTTGAGACAGCACCACCTCCGAATTCCCTCAAAGGGCGTTCTGAACTCACTGAGCAAATCCGGCTGGCTTTCATGTCCCTCTAGCCATTTCTTGCCGCCATGCACTTACAGGAGAAGGACTCGCAAACAGCGGGAGCACCGGGAAAGCCTGGGACTGCCGCCCCCCACAGCACAGCGCTCGGCACAGCGTTAGGGACAGAAGTCACCGTTGTTGAGCCCAGGGCAGCGATCCCAGCTGGCTCGGCCCCCGGGAAGGGAGGAGAAGGACCGGGTCTACTCCCCGAGGGCGATGCTCCCGGGGCAGGGACAATGGGCAGGGGACCCCGCGGTGTGGCGGAGGAGGCGGCGGCCCTCCCCTGCAGGTCTCGGGAGCCCGGCGGCGCTGAGAGACAGGCGGGCCGCCTGGAGCGCGGCGCTCGGGCCTCAGCGCGGCGCAGCCCCCGGGCCCGTGCCCCGCTGGTCTCGGGCAGGGGCTGCGGCCCAGCTCAGAGCCGCCGGACCGCGGAGGAGCCGTCCCGCCCCCGCGCCCTCCGCCCTCCGCCCCCAGCCCCGGTGCGACCCCCGTGCTGCCCGGCGCACTCGCCTGCCCACGGTCTGGTTAGCCAGCTGCTTCATGCGGTTGAACTGCTTCTTCATGGCGGCGGTGGCGGCGGCGGCCCGCGGGGCTCGGGCCGGGCAGGGCGGGGGACAGCCTGGCAGCTACTACATCGCTTCCCGGCCCAAACGGCGGCGCGGCGGTGGCTCCCCGGGCCGGCGGCCCCGCCCTCGCCTCGTCACTTCCAGTGGCACCGCCCGCCCGCCCTCTAGGTCTGGCCGAGCCGAGCTGAGCCCGAGTAGAGCCGAGTCGAACCGAGCCGAGGCTAACAGTGCCTTACCTGACACGGGCGAAGAGCTAGAAGGCCCCGGGCGAGAAGACCACTAGGCCTCCTCCGCCTGGCCTCCCCGACCCCAACGCTGCCCGGTCACCCTCTCGTTTATTTCAACGTATGAAAAGCTGTTTCTAGCAGGGCGCAGTGGTTCAACGTTGTAATCTCAGCACTTTGGGAGGCCGAGGGGGCAGATCACTTGAGCTCGGGAGTTCGAGAGCAGCCTGGCCAACACGGTGAAATCCTGTCTCTACTAACAATACAAATTTAGCTGGGCGTGGTGGTGGACGCCTGTAATCCCAGCTACTCAGGAGGCTGAAGCAGGAGAACGGCTTTTACCCGAAAGGCAGAGGTTGCAGTGAGCCGAGATGGCGCCACTGCACTCCAGCCTGGGCAACAGAGTGAGAGACCCTGTCTCGAAAAAAAAAAAAAAAAAAAAAATTAAAGTCAATGTGTGTTTTCCTTAACACACGTGCTCACACACTCATGTCTTCCTGGTTTGGTGGCCTTGGCTCCAGGTAAGCCCCTTCTTTGCATTGGATGGGCAGCAATGTGGCTTCTTTCATCAGCCACATCTCAAATGTGCTCCTAAATGTCATAGAAAAAGGAAAGAGCTCCCTAACTATGGGATAAAGGAGACTGATGCCAGTTTGGAATTCTTAATATCAAAGAATGAGGGACTTCAAGATCTTTTTAGTGACCTAGGAGAGACCTAGGAAGCATCAGAGCTTCAGATAGGGCAGCAAACTAAAAGTTATCGACATCAATTACAACAGAAAGAGGTAGAAATGAGCCTTCCTAAAACAAGAAAGCAAGCACTACAGGATCGGTTGCAGGACCGGCAGCCAGCCCTGGAGTCAGCACATTCAGGGAAGGCCGGAGGTTCCCATCCACACTGCATCCCCTCCATTCCATGTGGTACCCATCATGCTTCAGTGTTCCACGACGCTTACATGGGTTTTTATGACATAATTTCATCATAACAAGAAATAAACAGATAGTCCAATGAAGTTCTAAAACTTGAGTCTCCAGTTGGCCATTGGAAATGTATTGCTCAGACTTATAAAATAGGAGGAACAACTAGTTTTGATGAAAATGAAATCTACAAACTACAAACACCAAATATTAATATCATCAAGGAGCTCAAACAAAAAAGAAGTCAGGATACTGATGACCATCAGCTTGAATTATCAGTATTACAGAATGTTCATCAACAGAAATTGAGGGAAATAAGTTGTAAGCATCAAGAAAATCTAAGCAATTAGGAAGAAAAGATTGAAGAACTGGAAAATTTGTTACAGCAAGGTGGCTCAGGAATTACAGTACATGATCTCTCTAAACTTCAAGAGAAGGAAAACACTATTCATGCAAGCTCTACAAATTGAAAAAGTAGAGTCTACCAAAAAATTGAAGAATTTGAACATAGAGTAAAAGACAAATAAAAAATTATCTTCTGGGGCCAGGTGCAGTGGCTCACACCTGTAATCCTAGCACTTTGGGAGGTCAAGATGGGAAGATCACTTGAGCTCAGGAGTATGAGACTAGCCTGGACAACATACTAAAACCTCATCTCTATGAAAAATTTAAAAAAAAAAAAAAGGCCAGAAGCAGTGGCATGCACCTGTACTCCCAACTAGTTGAAAGGCTGAGGCAACAGGATCATTTGAGCCCAGGAATTTGAGGCTGCAGTGAGCTATTATCACACCATTGCACTCTTGTCTGGGTGACAGAGTGAGACCCCTAGCTGAAAAGAGGCTATTGGAAGAAACAACTCTGAGAAAACCATGAAAAGATTGTCCACTGAAGCTAACCTGGAGAGCTCTGCCTTACAGCTAGAGCAAGAGTGTGTAATTAAACTCAGCCACGAGAAAGACTCTGAAATGTCAGCACTCAAAAAGAATATTGAGGCTGGGTGCAATGCATCACACCTGTAATCCCAGCACTTTGGGAGGTCGAGGTAGGTGGATCACCTGAGGTCAGGAGTTCAAGACCA